>NC_000010.11:17737272-17888787 GCF_000001405.40 Homo sapiens
TGCCCTTTGGCCTCCTGCCAGTCCTCTCACTGGCCAAACCCAACTCGAATACAGAGTGATGGGGAAATATTGAGGACAGGGAGAGAAGTGGAGGAGAGCCAGCATGCTGGAGACATACTCAATTGAAGCAGGCATTGTCTAGCTCACCACCTGCAAAAACATTAAATTTTTCCTCTGGCAGTTATATTACCATGCCTATTATTTTATGAAAACCCAAAACATGTTCTAGGTTCTTTCGAGTTAATTTGCTGTGTACATTGCTAAGAATTTACATAAAGTACTGAATTTAAATTATCAGTAGGTGGCGCTGCTGAGATTGACTCTTGAAAAATCCAAATTAGCCATTTAACGGAAGATGATCTAGACTTCAGACAGATTATTTGGGAAAAAACATAACGCTGCAGGACAGTTCATTTATGATTCACTGTTTTCTCATGACATCTGGAATGCACCGATTTTTACAATTTTATTTCCTTAATATGTGGACCATTCTGGGTTTTCTCAACAATTAAAGAGCAGGGGCTGATGTTTCTCCGCAGAATTAGAAGGATGGTCATGCTATAGGCCGTATGCTAGACAAGGGGTAGCTGTTGCCTTTATGTCTTAATTTTCTGTTAGAGATTCACATAATGAATTATAATGTGGATCAAGATTTTTAAAATGGTTCAATTTGAATTTTCCGGAGAAGAGAATTAGATGCAGGGAACTTCAGAGCCACGTCTTCTGAAAGCATCAGAAGTGAGCCCCTGAGGGGCCATTTTCCTAGCAACCCTCAAGAAATAGAGTACTGCAGGCCTTTACCAATAGAAATAGGCCCATAAAAATCCGGGAGTTGTGAAATGTTTAACCTGACATATGGATTTTAAAGATGCCCAAGTCCTCTATTTTCCAAACGACATCAGAGGGGTACTTGGTAAAATACAGATTCCCAGGCCTTTTGCCTGCAGATTCTGATTGAGTCAATCTGGGATGGGACTGGAAAGCTATAATTAGCAGGTGCCTCCCCACCCCCGCAGGAGTCCTTAGGTCACACTAGTTTGGGAAACACTGATACTATGCAGCCTCCTCCTTTCCAACAAGTGTCTTCACCTACTTGGTGTAAAGCTTCACAGACATTCTGAGGTCACAATTACCTTTGAAAATTGAGGAAAGCTAGGGACCCTTTCACTAGAAAAATACTCCTGCCCAGAGGTTTACGTATAATTTCAGGTGTTTCAGGGACCCTTTAGAACTCTTTTTTTTTTTTTTTCAGACGGACTCTCGCTGTATCACCCAGGCTGGAGTGCAGTGACACGATCTCGGCTCACTGCAACCTCTGCCTCCTAGGTTCAAGAGATTCTCCTGCCTCAGCCTCCTGAGTAGCTGGGATTATAGGTGCCCACCACCATGCCTTGATATTTTTTTTTTTTTTTGTAATTTTAGTAAAGATGGAGTTTTGCCGTGTTGGCCAGGGTGGTCTCAAACTCCTGACCTCAGGTGATCTGCCCGCCTCCCAAAGTGCTGGGATTACAGGCATGAGCCACCACACCCGGCCTAGAACTCTTTTCTGTAGCCTTTCTTATGAACCTCTATCCTAGAGTTGGTTTAAAACTCTCCAGCCTAGATTTCAAGGCTTCCCCTAATCTTGCCCCATCCTACCAGTTGAGCCTCTTGTCTCATTATTCCCATGATAGCCAGGAGCTGTGAAGAGGAACCAGTTATATTCCAAGTCAAAATCAAAGGAACCTCTGTGCTTTCCTTTAAGCATATACGAGTCCTTTGCAATAGAGTGGAGTCTGTTAAGGAAACACACTAGGCAGGATTTTGTAGATTGTGGTCATTGGCATCTTCCAGGGAGAAAAAAGATGATAAAAGTCACTGGTGATCTGCCAAGGCAGACGTTTCACTTCGCTTTCTTCTCTTCCCAAGGACACAGTGTCTGATTTGTAGAGCATCATTTTGGGCCCTGTCATGGCACAGCAGAAGTCATTCTTACAACCCCCTGGTGAGCCACAGGGGCTTACTTCAGACTCCACCAGAGTCTTGCTGAAATATCTGTTAGCATCAGTAGGCTTGGATCCTACCAGCAATTAGAGTTGTCCAGTCACTCAAAAAAATTTTTGTTTTTTTAAAAGAGACAGGGTCTTGCCATGTTGCCCAGGCTGGTCTTGAACTCCTAGGCTCAAGTGATCCTCCCACCTCAGCCTCTTAAGTAGCTGAGCCTATAGGGGCACACCACCATACCCGGCTCCCAGTCATCCAAATATTTTAAATTATTGAGACTAGTAGGTTTATTACTAGCCTGAATCAATCCATCAACAGTCTGATGCTGGCCTTGTACTGTAAGTCCAAAGTATTATTGTTATTACAGAGGAGGGTCATATAGATTAATTTAAATACCTTAAGTCAGATCATACATAAATGTTGAAAATAGAAGTCATACCTGGGCCACTACCTCTTTGGTGGTGATTTAAACCATTACATTTTGTTTACTTCTGTACTTACGATGATGACTAGGTGTTTACATTAAATTGGCTTATCCATGCTTAAATAATATAGGAACAAAAAATATACTCAAATGGCAAGATACAGTTTTAAAAAATATACATGCAAACAGTTTAAAAGTGTAACTAATTGTTGGTATGTATGATGTTTTCATTTAATTCCCATTGTTTCATTTTAACAATGATATAAAGGTCAAAATAGAATTTAGCAGATGTTTAACCACTAGAAGGATCTAACATTGAGTAAGTGGACAGAAAACAGTTAACTGAGCAGGCTGGACTGCTGTCTTTTGAAAGGCCTGTTTACAAAGTTGGCCCTTGGCTGGCGTCTGGGAACTTAAATTTCGGGAGGGTTCCCACAATTCCCAGAATTGATAAGAGTGGCTCACTGTGCCTAAATGATTTGCGTCAATGATGTGGTTTATGCTGAACACCTGCTTGCCTTCTGGGAGTCTGGAAGTTTGGTGGGTTCCAGGCAGAATGTGCCTTGGCGACCAGCGCCCCGTAAAAACCATGGGCACCGAGTCACTGAGGAGCTTTCCTGGTGGCAACATTTCATGTGTTGTCATGGCCCATTGCTGCGGGAACTCAACAGGTCCTGTTTGACTCAACTGGGAGAGGACTTGTGCAAACTGGTACCCTGTTTCCCATGGACTTCATCACCTGTGCCATTTCCCTTTGCTGATTTTCCTTCAAGTTCTTTCAGTGTAAAAAATCATAGCCCTGAGTACAATCATATCTGACTCCTGTGATTCCTACACATTTATTGAAACGGGTGGTGGTCTTGGGATTCCCCCAACACAAGATACTGTCACCACCTTTAAGGAAGTAAAATGAATAAGAGAAATATGCATGTGAAACTATAGCACAAGGTTAGAATGTAAGTATGATAAGAAGAAATAGGGACCAATACTGCTTGCAGCTGGGTAATTAGATCTGGTCTTTGGTTATCTCAGTGTTTTGTAGCAAATTTAGTGTATTTCCATTAGGACCTTTGAAAGAATCCAGCTAGACTAGTGTTGAATGAAATTTATGGGAGGCCATTATTTTGATCTAGGCTCCCAGCAGATCAGACTAAACCCAAATGCAGTCACCAGTTGAAAGTTGAAAGTGCCATGTCATCAAATTGAACTTTGAGAAGTTTTCCAAACACCTGGAGATTTATAGCAGCCAATCAGAAGGGGCCCAGTGTACCTGAGCCAACATGCTAAGGAGGCCCCCTCTGATGTAAACTTATAAAGTAATTATTAAAAGACCATATCTGCTATTCGTTTCTTATTTCTGCTCTCTTCAGCCCTTTTCTGTCTATACAGCCAGTCTCTTCTGCTCTACTCGTCAAGGTTTTTATACTATTTTATAGAATGAGATGCTGTCCTGATTCATGAATTGCAATAAATGTCTGCTCAATTTTTAAATGAATTTTATTGTAATTTATTTTTTTTTGAGACGGGATCTCACTCTATTGCCCAGACTGGAATACAGTGGCATGATCATAGTTCACTGCAGCCTTGACCTCCTGGGCTTAATCAATCCTCCCACCTCAGCATCCTGAGTAGCTGGGCTACAGGCGTGTACCACCACGTGTGGCCAGTTTTTGATATTCTGTGGAGATGGAGTCTCACCATGTTGCCCAGGCTGGTCTTGAACTCGTGTGCTCAACCTGGAGGTTCAGGTAAAATTTCCTGAATAACAACTGGCCCATTCTCTGTGCTTAAACTATTAAAAAACAAACAAACAAACAAACAAAATTAGACTCATGCCTATAGTCCTAGCATTTTGGGAGGTTGAGGTGGGAGCATCACTTGAAGATAGGAGTTTGAGACCAGCCTGGGCAATATGGCGAGACCCTGTATCTACTAAATAAAAATTAGGCAGGAGGTGGCTAAGGTGGTGATATGCACCACCTAAGTCCCAGTTACTTAAGAGGCTGAGGTGGGAGGATGACTTGAGCCCAGGATTTCAAGGCTGCAGTGAGCTAGGATTGCACTACTACACTCCAGCCTGGCAACAGAGTGAGACCTTGTCTCAAAAAAAAATTGGTGCCCAGTCACGGTGGCTCACATCTGTAATCCCAGCACTTAGGGAGGGTGAGGCAGGCAGATCACCTGAGGTCAAGAGTTCAAGACCAGACTGGCTAACATGGTGAGACCCTGTTTCTATTAAAAATACAAAAAAATTAGCCGGGCATGGTGGCGGGCGCCTGTAATCCCAGCTACTTGGGAGGCTGAGGCAGGAGAATTGCTTGAACCCAGGAGGCGGAGGTTGCAGTGAGCCCAGACCGTACCATTGCACTCTAGCCTGGGCAAGAAAAACGAAACTCCGTCTCAAGGAAAAAAAATTGGTAAAAATTCCTGCTGTCAAGAAACTTACATTTCAGTTTGAGGGAGACAGGCAAGTAACATAAAAGTAAAATATTATGTTAGATAGTGTTACATGATAAAAATGAGGCAGAAAGAGGGATAGGAAGCTGGGGGAGTTGATGAAATTTTAGATAAATTATCTCATGAGAAGATGTCACTTAAGACCTGAAGAACGGGAGGCGGTTGGCTTTTTGGATATCTCTGGGGAGTTTTCCAGGCCAAGAGAATAACAGGGCAAAGTCTAACAGAAGCCTTTATGCTTGGTGTGTTTGAAGAATATTGAGGAGGACAAGGAGAGAGGAAATTTAGTCAGAGAGAGAGGTGGTAGGGGAGAGATCGTGGAAGGCCTGGAAAATTATGGTGAAGCCTAGGGCTTTGATCTAAGTGGCTTTTGAGATGAGCTCTGACGTACCTCACTAAATATCAAACTAAATGAGCCAAATTTACATAGTTCAAGATGGCGTATGATCCTCCACAAGACTCACAACTTAATAGCCTAAATTTTAAAAAGGAATAATTAAGGTTGGAAGATTTCAAGCCTATAATATCTTTTAAAATATCAACTCAAGGCCAGGCACATTGGCTCACACCTGCAATCCCAGCACTTTGGGAGGCCGAGGCAGGCAGATCACTTGAGGTCAGGAGTTTGAGACCAGCCTGGCCAACATGGTGAAACCCCGTCTCTACTAAAAATACAAAATTAGTCGGGCATGGTGGTGCATGCCTATAATCCCAGCTATTCGGGAGGTTGAGGCAGGAGAATCGCTTGAACCCCGGAGTTAGAGGTTGCAGTCAGCCGAGATCGCGCCACCGCACTCCAGTCTGGACAACAGAGTGAAACCGTGTCCCAAAAAAATACATACGTATATGTGGGTATCAACTCAAAAATTGTGATGAAAACAGAACAAAACCAAACCTGCGCCACCCAGTGGAGTAAGGAAGCACTGCATACAGGCAGATCACTCAGAATTTTTTTTTTTTTTTTTTCTTGAGACGGATTTTTGCTCTTTTTGCCCAGGCTGGAGTGCAATGGCGCGATCTTGGCTCACCACTCCCGACCTCAGGTGATCCGCCCGCCTTGGCCTCCCAAAATGCTGGAATTACAGGCATGAGCCACCGCACCCGGCTAGAAATTTTAACTTTTATCTACAGTGATCACATTAACTGCACAATTATCATTTTTGCTTACTTTGTGAATATATGGTGGGCAGGACTACTAATAGTTATTTTAAGATATTTTAAGTTACGTACGGAAGAATTGGAGAGTTGCAAACTTATTAAGTCCTCAACAGTGAAGATGTGGGAAATTTAGTTTAAAGCATCCTTGTGAACTTTGGGATGAATTTATGCTAATTGATTAGGCCTGAACCTACATTTTTGTCTGTTTAAATTTGTTACTCTGGAATACCAAAAGGCTAACTTGTTTTAGTCCCTTGAAAAATAAAATTTGAGAATTGTTGCAAACAGTGAAGGGACTTCCTTTTTTCCTTTAATACAGTTTTTTAAAAATTTCTAGCTCATTTACACATTACCACACACACAATTTGTGTGATGACTACATAGTGGAGTCGGAAATTTTAATTCACTTTCTTTCCCTTTTAAGATCTGGGAAATTTTAATGGAATGACATTTTAAGGGAGCATAATTTTTTTTTTAAGTAAGGATTTCCTATACATTTTGTTAATTTCAAGAACAGAGTCGGCCAGGCGTGGTGGCTCACACCTGTAATCCCAGCACTTTGGGAGGCCCAGGAGGGCAGATCACAAGGTCAGGAGATCGAGACCATCCTGGCTAACACGGTGAAACCCCGTCTCTACTAAAAATACAAAAATTTAGCTGGGCTTGGTGGTGGGCACCTGTAGTCCCAGCTACTCAGGAGGCTGAGGCAGGAGAATGGCCTGAACCCAGGAAGCGGAGCTTGCAGTGAGCTGAGATTGCGCCACTGCACTCCAGCCTGGGTGACACAGCGAGACTCCGTCTCAAGAAACAAAAACAAAAACAAAAAAAAAAACAACAATAGAGTCACCAGTTATAAAAGGGCCACAAAAGTGAATACACTGTCACCTTTGCTTTTACAAAGTTGCTTATTTGATAGCCAAACAGATGAAATAATACTTTTTCCTATAGTATATATTTAGCATAATCTGGACTATGATAGCATGAAATTGGTCAAGGGGGCTTATATCAGATAGTAATATCATCTTACTAAATTCTCTTCAAGTGATTGATTGGTCATGCCTGCGTGCGATGATCAGCAACTCTGGAAATTTCAAATAATCAGTAAACCAGGCCCCGGAACCTACTTTCACTTCTTCCCTAGGCTCTATGTACATTCAGCTCCATCCCAAGAGCAGTTTCACTGCCACTAGCTCCTGTCTTTTTGCACATCATAAGATCACAGGAAACAAACCACGGATATGCCAGAACATTCCTGGCAGTTTGTACATTGTGTTTCACAGACCCTACACTGAAAACAATGAGCAAACCTTGAGATTACAAATGATCTTCCTAACAATTTTAGAGACTCGATTTTTGACTTCCTGCCTGCAGGAAGGAAATGACAGTTGGAAGTGTGGAGAACAGGTGTTCCCCTGCACAGAATGATATCTTCTGCTTACTAAAATAAAAAACACTGCATCAACACTCCTACATGGAAGTGAACTCTAACCACAAGGCTCAGTCTTTTCACCACGGATCCAGCTTCAGAAACCCAAATCTGTTTCCTACCAGGAAGCTGTTAAACCCAGCATTAAAGAGCAAAGTAAGGCGCAGAGTTCCTCGAATCAGTACTGGGTTAATCCAAGTAAAGAATCTGGGTGGTTTGAAAATGTCCCCTTCCATGTCTTTCCAGTTACCACAGTACAACTGCATGGCACACTTATCAGAGGACTTAGAAGGGCAGGAATCAGGATTGGAGTAAACGGGTCCCAGCTGAAGGGTAGGTAGGTGATCTTAAACCCTCTTTCATCTCCCGTTGTCTTTGTCTCCAAGTCAGGGGTCTGGGATTATTTCCTCCCAGTAGCTTAGTGTTGGCATAATAGCTTTCTTTTTCTTTGCCAAGGTCGCTAGTTGCTCTATCCCTCATGAAGGAACCTTCGCTGCTTCATAATCCTTTCTGTGAAACTCAGGCAAATGACACCTTAAAAGGGCTGAAGACTCTGACATAATTGAAGGCCATGCCTCGGGTCAGAGAAATACCAGACAGTCCTCTCCAGTCTCCTTCATTAATGGTGCAAACCCATTAGGGCGTGTGCATTTTCTGAGGGCCCACAGATTGGAGAAGGCTGGGGAAATATTGTAGCACTCCCATCTATGAAGCCGTGGTGAATGCTTGAAAAGGGTCATAGTCTTTTTCAACAGGCATCACGAGATTAATCAGTTCTGCAATCCACAGCGACTTTGTCTTTTCTCTTTTACCTTGAGACCCCAAGGAGCCATGCTGTGGAGAAAGAGATCTGGTAGCTTTATTTGGAGCCAAGCATTGCAAGGGTAAGGAGGAGCGAGCGAGGAAATTGAAGCCTGTAGACTGAGTGAGTAGATTGAATTGAGACTCATAGAACATGATTTCTCCTTCTGAAATGTCAGCGTGGGAGACAGCTCACTCTCCCTTGGAATAAAAAAAGAGTTAACCATGATCAAATCCCTTCACATTCCTTCTGCTGCCTACTTCTGTCTATTTTTTTTTCTCTGCCGTATTCTTATTTCTTTAATTTTTTTTTCTAATTTTTATTCCTAACTCACCACTTCTCTCTCTCTTTTTGAGTTGGAAGGAGGACGGGGTCTCTGTTGCCCAGGTTTGGAGTGCAGTGGCGCAATCATAGCTCAACCTCCTGGGCTCAAGCGATGCTTCCTCTTCAGTCTCCTGAGTAGCTGGGACTACAGGCACACACCTCCATGCCCAGATAATTTTTGTATTTTTCATAGAGATGGGGTTTTGCCATGTTGTCCAGGTTGGTCTTGAACTCCTGGGCTCAAGCAATCTGCCCACCTCAGCCTCCCAAAGTGCTGGGATTACAGGCATGAGCCACTATGCCTGGCCGTCTCCACTTCTCTTATACTTCTCTTGTGCATTCCTTTTTTCCAGGAATACATATTAAGGGACCGTTGTGTGCTTGGCACTGTGCTGAGAAATGAGGATGCACAGATGAAAAGCAGATGCTCTCTGCCTTCCAGGAGCTCACGGTTTTGTGAGGGACCCAGTGTGTAAATGAATGGTATAAGAACATTTTATCATTTGTGCTACCCTACAAGTATCCAAAAGATGTTTTGAGCCTGGGCACAGTGACTCACGCCTGTAATCCCAGCACTTTGGGAGGCTGAGGCGGGTGGATCACTTGAGGTCAGGAGCTCGAGACCAGCCTAGCCAACATGGCGAAACCCCATCTCTACTAAAATACAAAAATTAGCTGGGCATAGTGACTGATGCCTATAATCTCAGCTACTCTGGAGGCTGAGGCAGGAGAATCGCTTGAGCCTGGGAGGCGGAGGTTGCAGTGAGCCGAGATTGCGCCACTACACTTCAGCCCAGGTGACGGAGCAAGACTCTGTCTCAAAAAAAAAAAAAAAAGGTGTTTTGAGAAAGGAGGGATGACTTAATTCCGCTTGGAAAAGCAGAGTAAGAAAAGGTTGCACAGAGGAGCAGGAGAGAAAACAAGGGTCTGTAGAAGGATGAAGCTTCCCTTTTCAGCCTTTTCCTATGAAAGCAGGAGAGGATGATCCAATTCCACCCAAAGGCCCAGCCAGAAAACAGTGGTTCAAACCTGTCTCCTGTCTTCTGCTTGCCTCTTGACTATTTCGCTGCTCTTAGGTACTACCGTTAAAAGGATAATTGAAGTGCAGTTTGATTATTTGGCTTCTATAAAGTAAGGGAAATCAAATTGGTGGAGGATAGATTTTAAAAAAAAGCACAAAATTGTTATTGAACTCCCTCCACCCCACTTCACCCATGCTCTAGGGACAGCCCTGTGAACAGTTTGACAAGTATCTTCCTGGATTTTAAAATTTACGTAGAAACCTACAACTACAATATTTGAAATCAAAAAGATTGTACCACTGATGTTGTTAGACATAGTATCTGTATCTTGCTTCTCTGTCCCACCCTCTTCCCTATCTTACTACATCATGAACATTCTTAGAACTATTTTTCCTTGAAAAAAATCATTATTATTTTTAGAGGCAGGGTTTCCCTCTGTTACCACAGGCTAGAATGTATTTGCTGTTCACAGGTGCAATCAAAGTGCACTGCAGCCTCGAACCCCTGGGCTCAAGCAATCCTCCCACCTCAGCCTCCCTAATAGCTGGGACTATAGGTGCATGCCACAATGCCTGGCTAAATTTTTAATTTTTTTTTTTTTTTTTTTGGTAAAGACAGGGTCTTGCCATGTTGCCCAGGCTTGTCTGAGACTCTTGGCCTCAAGCAATCCTCTCACCTTGGCCTCCCAAAATACTGGGATTGCAGTATTTCACTGCACCCAGCCAGAACAATTTTTCAAAGGAAATATTATTACACTATACAGAGAAAATTGCTGTAGCAATATACAGCTACCGCTTTGAGTCAACAGAAAGACTGATACAAAGCTTACCTCCTCTGAGAAGGCTTCTCTGATAAACTGTGAGTTTTTTCCATCCTTTCCCCTGTATTTTCTGGTAATTTTCCATGGGGTTTCTGAATGGTATTTGGCCTCTGCTCATAAACACACTCCTTTGTCTTATTCTCAAGCCCTTTCTCTAGCAAAGAAGAAAGACCACCTTTTGTAAGGGCACATGTGAGCTGGAAAGTTCAACAACTCAGACACCTGTAAAGACTGGTCTTTCTTGGCATGCTTGCTTCTCCCTGTTGATCTGTCCTAGCCTTCTCACTCCCAGGTTCCTTGCTCAACTCACTCTTCTATTCCCTCCCCGCCTGGCTTCTATTTGTTCATTCATCAGATAGAATTGACAACATGCCAGGAGTGGAGGTTCCAGCCCGTAGAGTTTGGCTTGCTCTAATTCTGACTCAAACTCATGACCTTCTTTAGCTCCACTTACCAAATTCTCCCCATGTTTCTGAGTTCAAATTCCTAAGGGTGAGAATCCGATTGACCTGGTTTGTGCCAGGCTACACATAGATGGCTGGACACTCTATGGCCCAGGACCCATTCATTCAAGAAGATGTGGCTGAAGAAGGGAGATGGACTGTGGGCAGGTCACCCTTCCCAGTCCTAACTCGCCCAGAGTACTTACTCCACCAGTGTCCTCGGGTCTTTGCGGGGCACTTGTGTTATCTCCCTAAGCAGAACGTGAGTTAACAGGGACTGCCGTGATCTGCACGCAGGAAGTGTTCAAAGGACAATGCGAACACATGCAACTGTTTCTTTACATGGAGTTGGACTTGTGGCAGGCAGAAAGTGAGAATCACAGCCTTCCTCCTAAAGAAACCACAGCCAGTGACCAGGGCATTCCAGGAGGTAGAAAACACTGGTCACAGGTCACGTCACATGAGTGCTAACACTCATGGGGTAATCTTGTAAAGGTGACCGGAAGCAGTGGCTCACACCTGTAATCCCAGCACTTTGGGAGGCCGAGGTGGGTGGATCACTTGAGGCCAGGAGTTCGAGACCACCCTGGCCAATAGGATGAAACCTCGTCTCTACTAAAAATACAAAAATTAGCCAGGTGTGGTGATGGGTGCTTGTAATCCCAGCTATTAGGGAGGCTGAGGCAGGAGAATCGTTTGAACCCAGGAGACAGAGGTTGCAGTGAGCTGAGATTGCACCACTGCACTCCAACCTGGGAGACAGAGCGAGACTCTGTCTCAAAAAATTAAAAAAATAAAGGTGGAGGAAGATTATGAATCAGAGGAATGTTACAGGCGGGAAATAGAAAGCTAGTGCCAGTTTTAAATTCTCATAAATGGAAATAAAAATTGAGCATTCAAAATGGAATTTTAGGCCTGGGTAAGAGACTTCTTTCTCCAGAGTCAAGCTATTCAATAACTCTCTTCAAATGCTCAATAATTCTTATTCATACACAAAATTTGTAGCAGAAATTATGATTCAACAGAGTGCTAGTGACTCAAGATGGACTGTTAGGAGGTTAAAATATAATTCATATCCAGTATCATTTAAATAGGCATTTTCATCAGGGATGATACTGACAATTGATGTCAGTGATAAGTTATTAGAAGTAGTTGACAACTGGGTGCAGTGGCTCACACCTGTAATCCCAGCACTTTGGAGGCCGAGGTGGGTGGATCACCTGAGGTCAGGAGTTCGAGACCAGCCTGGGCAACATAGCAAAACCCTGTCTCTACTAAAAATACAAAAATTAGCCGGGCATGCTGGCGCATGTCTGTAGTCCCAGGTACTCGGGAGGTTGAGTCAGAAGAATCGCTTGAACCCGGGAGGTGGAGGTTGCAGTGAGCTGAGATTGTGCCATTGCACTCCAGCCTGGGTGACAGAGTGAGACTCCGCTTCAAAAAAAAAAAAAAAAAAGTAGTCGACGACAGAACCGCTGCTCAGATGGGCCTCCACCCCATCCTTTCATATTTTATCATTGTTCCTCTCAGTCTCTTCTTTGGCTTGAAAGAACTTCTGCTAAACTTCAATGGATTCAAAATCCAAGTTCAAATAACATAACTAGATGGCTTGAAGAACCTGCTGACTAATTGTCTGGCAGTGGGAGGGCAGAAGGCATCAATCCTCAGGGCCACACCAGGAGCCTCCGATGCACCCTGGAAGTCCAGCAGCGCAGGGCCCCTTCTGCCGGGGGCCTTGAGAGAGAGAAGCCTAGAGAAATACAGGTCTGCATCAGTGTGACAGCAGGTACAGGGAAAGCCACAGAAGGGACGGGGCTCAATGTCTGCTGCTGCGTCGCCTCCCTCATCACTCCCGCTCCATTTGTGTTGGCCAGGGGGCTCTTACCTCTAGCCCAGGCTCCTCTCTGGTTCCCAGCTGTACTCCTGCCTCCAGGGTAACACTGCTCTGTCCTTCCTCCACATCAGCATTGAACCTCCTTTCCAGATGACCAAAGGACTGCTGTGTTCAGAAAACCTTGCTTTTTCACTGCCGGCTACACACCCCCACCAAATCCTTAATGGGACACGCCATTCTTACCTCAACCTATTTTGTTGTTGTTGTTTTGAGATAGGGTCTCGCTCTGTTGCTCAGGCTGGAGTGCTGTGGCACGATCACAGATCACTGCAGCCTCAACCTCCCAGGCTCAAGCAATCCTCCCACCTCAGCCTCTGGAGTAACTGAGACCACAGGCAAGCGACACCGTGCCTGGCTAATTTTTGTATTTTTTGTAAAGAAGAGGTTTCACCATGTTGCCCAGGCTGGTCTCAAACTCCTGGCCTCCTCAAGCTATCAACCCACCTTGACCTCCTAAAGTGCTGGGGTTACAGGTATGAGCCACCCCACCTGGCCCCCAAACTATTTTTCTAACATTGCCTCCTCCTGTTTCCTGCTGTGCCACACCAGATTTTCACTAACCCCTGCAGCCTCCTTGGCTGTGTCTGAAATGTCACCGACACCACAGTGCCCCCGTCCATCCTGACCGTGCTTATGTGCCCATCCTCTTCCCACAACCCCAAGGTGAAGCAAGGTGAAGTTCACCTGTGTCCCTGTAGCACTTCATTTACACTCTTCTGGCCTTGGTTTTTTGTTGTGGTTCCTCATTTTATCTCCTCCATTGGACCTCAAGCACTTTCAGAACAGGAACTGCTGTCATTCATTCATCTTCACACCCTAACACATACTAAAATGCTCATTGTAAGTGCTCTAGTATGTTTTTCTTTTCTTTTTTTTTTTTTTTTTTTTGAGAAGGTGTCTTGCTCTGTTGCCTAGGCTGGAGTGCAGTGGCATGATCTCAGCTCACTGCAACCTCAGCCTCCTTGGTTGAAGTGATTCTTCTGCCTTAGCCTCCCAAGTAGCTGGATTACAGGCATGTGCCACCACGCCCCTCTAATTTTTGCTTTTTTTTTTTTTTTTTGAGACGGAGTTTCGCTCTTGTTGCCCAGGCTAGATTGTAATGGTGCAATCTCGGTTCACTGCAACCTCCGCACCTCCCAGATTCAAGCGATTCTCGTGCCTCAGCCTCCCAAGTAGCTGGGATTACAGGCATGCACCACCACACCCGTCTAATTTTGTATTTTTTTCGTTTTTTGTGCAGATGGGGTTTCACCATGTTGGTCAGGCTGATCTTGAACTCCTGACCTCAGGTGATCTGCCTGCTTCAGCCTCCCAAAGTGCTGGGATTACGGGTGTGGGCCACCGTGCCTGGCCTTAATTTTTGTATTTTTTAGTAGAGACGAGGTTTCACCATGTTGGCCAGGCTGGTCTCGAACTCCTGACCTCAGGTGATCTGCCCGCTTCAGCCTCCCAAAGTGCTGGGATTACAGGTGTGAGCCACCATGCCCGGTCTCAAGTATGTTTTTCAAAGGAAGGATATTCATGGAGACAATTGTCATTCTTTAAACATTTGATATGCATTTGAGCTAGTCACAGATAGCTGTTAATGTGTAAATCTTGATAACAGGCTTCTAATGTCACCATTTCAGTTTCCTGTGCAGCAAAACAAAAATAACATTAATTTGTGTTATATGGCAACTAATGCACAATAATGAATAAATATCTTAAGTATTAGGGAGAATCCTGGTTAGAGAGTTGATAAAGTGAATACAAACTCCCTTTTCAAGCACTTGAAAGGGAGGGATGGTTTTCCAAGATGAAGACTTAGGTTTGAGTATCTCCCTTTGCCTGAATTTGCTTTTATGTAAAAATAGAGGGTTGGATTCTATCTATTCCCCTTTAACTCTAAAATTATATTATTCCAGCAGTTTTACTTAACAAGAATTGACTATCACACAAATGGTTTTGTGCTAACGTTAGCAATAAACACCTTTTTAAAACCCTGCTTTTACCCATGCTCCCGGGCATGCTCTAAAGTTCATTTGACTTCTAATAATGGATGTGCAAATATGTTGAGTGATCACTTCCACAATGGTCCTGTTCCTTTAAGAGACCACGGTTGTTAAGTTAGGAGATCATTGAACCATATGAGGGTCAATAAAAGAATAAAAAGTCACTGGTTAGCGATTCGAGGACAAGGAACTTGATCCCAGTTCAGTGTCTGTGGGTCCATATGCTGCCCACAGTCAAAGAGGGAGTCCCAGGTTCTTGGCAGCTTGCTTTTCCTCAGGATGGCTTCTGGAAGGCTCATTAAGTTCGTGGTTTTTGAGCTCCTAGAGTTTGCCGCTTTCTCCATCCCCACACTCGTGATCACAGAACAGTTTGCCACCGCCTACCAAGGAACAAGGGCTAGATCTGACAACACACACTACTGGCTGATCATCTCCTGTTCTATTGCCTATGTTGCGTTAGTGACTCTACTGATCTGGGTTCCTGTAAAAGTTATCCTGCACAAGAAACGTTATATTTACAGAAAAATTAAAGGATGGTAAGTAAAAGAATTTTCTTTTTTTTCTTTTTGATTTGGAGTCTCGCTCTGTCACCCAGGCTGGAGTGCAGTAGGGCAGTCTTGGCTCACTGCAACGTCCGCCTCCTGGGTTCAAGTGATTCTCCTGCCTCAGCCTCCTGAGTAGCTGGGATTACAGTCGCACACCACCACACCTGGCTTATTTTTGCATTTTTAGTAGAGACGGGTTTTTGCCATGTTGGCCAGGCTAGTCTTGAACTCCTGACCTCAAGTGATCTGCCTGCCTCAGCCTCCCAAAGTACTAGGATTACAGGCAGAAGCCACAATGCCCGGCCTGTAGAAGAATTCTTTAGTAGGGAATCCCCATGATGCTGTCAAAGATACGTTTGTTTGTTTGTTTTTTTGTTTGTTGTTTGTTTTAACTTTAAAGTTCAGGGGTAAAAGCGCAGGTTTGTTACATAAGTTAACTTGTGTCATTAGGGGTTTGTTGTACAGATTATTTCACCGGCATGCACCACCATGCCCAGCTAAGTTTTGTACTTTTAGTAGAGACGGGGTTTTCATGTTAGCCAGGCTGGTCCCGAGCTCCTGACCTCAAATGATCCACCCATCTTGGCCTCCCAAAGTGCTAGGATTACAGGAGTGAGCCAACACGCCCAGCCTGTAAAAGAATTCCTTAGCAGGGAATCCCCGTGATGCTTTCAAAGATATATTTGTTTGTTTGTCTGTTGTTTGACTTTTAACTTTTAAGTGCAGGTTTGTTACATAGGTTAACTTGTGTCATGGGGATTTGTCGTACAGATTATTTCATCACCCAGGTATTAAGCCTAGTACCTATTAGTTGTTTTTCCTGATCCTCTCCCTCCCACCGTTCACCCTCTGGAAGGCCCCGGTGTGTGTTGTTCCCCTCTGTGTGTGCATGTGTTCTCATCATTTAGCTCCCACTTATAAATGAGAACATGTGGGATTTGGTTTTCTGTTCCTGCGTTAGTTTGCTAAAAGTAATGGCCTCCAGCTCCATCCATGTCCCTGCAAAGGACATGATCTTGTTCTTTTTCATGATTGCATAGCATTCGATAAAGTATATATGCCACATTTTCTTTATCCATTCTATCACTGATGGGCATTTAGGTTGGTTTCCTGTCTTTGCCATTGTGAATAGTACTGCAACGAACATACGGGTGCATGTGTCTGTATAATAGAATGATTTATATTCCTTTGGGTATATACCCAGTATTGAAATTGCTGAGTCGAATGGTATTTCTGTCTTTAGGTCTTTGAGGAATCACCACACTGTCTTCCACAATGGTTAAACTAATTTAGACTCCCACTAACAGTGTATAAGTATTCCTGAAAGATATGTTCTAACATACTGTGGGTAAGGATGTGAGCAGAGCGTAAGGATAGAATGTGACATTAATGGGAGGCTACAATTACTGCTTCTGTGAATGTATGGATATTATGGTATCTTCCTTAATTTTTCTACAGTCATTTATACTGAGTGATAATAACACATGAGATGGGTTAGTAAGACTGGAGTTTGTGCCAGTTCATGCTATTCTAAGTAGTAAATGTTGGACTTAATTCTCCTGGACACTAAATTACATAAACTTATCGGAGTGAGCTTACACAACTCATAATCAGAAGATGGTAATGTAGAATTTTAATTTTGCGTAAAACTGAAAGTAATGTCTATTTTTAATTATTTACATTGCATTTTGCAGGCTTACGTCATACTTTGACCATTAACTACGACTTTTAAAACAACTGGTTCCTTTAGACTTTTTATTTACTTATTTTTTATTTTGAGACTGGGTGTGGCTCTGTTGCCCAGGTTGGAGTGCAGTGGCGTGATCATTGCTCACAGCAGCCTCAACCTCCCCAGGGGGCTCAGGTGATCCTCCTACCTCGACCTCCTGAGTAGCTGGGACTACAGGTGCACACCACCACACCCGGCTACTTTTTTTGTGTTTTTTATAAAGATGAGGTTTTGCCACATTGCTCAGGCTGGTTCCAAACTCCTGGGCTCAAACAATCCACCCGTCTTGGCCTCCCAAAGTGCTGAGATTACAGGCGTGAGCTGCCAAAGCTGGCCTACTTAGACTTTAAAAATAAATAATTTACTGTGTTGGTAAATTCTGTTACCCTTGTAGGGGAGGAAAGTACTTCAATAACAATACAGAGATATTTTAAATAAATCAGGATTTAATGTTAATTTAACTAGCAGTTTAGCTAATGGGTATACTGATCCACATAAGGGTATTGAGAACAAATAGTCTCTGATATTAATGTATTTTTCCTTTTAGATCTTCAGATCTGATTCTTACTCATCTTGGACTTCTCTCTTTTCTTTAATAAGTTAATATAAGCTAATTTTTCTTTCATACTGATGTTTTATTTATTTATTTATTTATTTATTTATTTGAGACAGAGTTTCACTCTTATTGTCCAGGCTGGAGTGCAGTGGCACGATCTCAGCTCACTGCAACTTCCGCCTCCTGGGTTCAAGCAATTATCCTGCCTCAGCCTCCTGAGTTGCTGGGATTACAGGGTCCTGCCACCACTCCCGGCTAATGTTTTTTTTTTTTTTTGTATTTTTAATAGAGACAGGGTTTCTTCATGTTGGCCATGCTGGTCTTGAATTCCTGACCTCAGGTGATCTGCCTGCCTCGGCCTCCCAAAGTGCTGGGATTATAGGCATAAGCCACTGCTCCCGGCCGATGTTTTATTTTGAAAGCGAATGACATAGAACACATGTGAAAAGTGAGGCACTGGGAATTTGCACATCCACGCAAGGGCAGAAATGTAAAAATAATAGACTCTGCAATAGAGCTAGAAATACCATTGCTGAGGTTGGGAGGATGCTGATGGAGAGCTGACATGTGAAGTTCATGGTGCTGTCTTTAGGTACCGATCCCAGATGTGGCTACTTCTGCGAACCTTGCCAGGAGACTTTCATTTTCCCGAAAGCAGGGGTCTTAAGGGGTTTCTGGAAATAAAGCATTATGTTGTTGGCACTGCTTTTATCAGTAGGGTTTAGGGGCTTTCCAAACCTTGACCAGAGCCCCAGGGTCACCTAAGGGGTAGCTTGGAGCTGGGCTTGACCCTCCACCTCTCACACCCTGTAGGGGTGGCTTTGACTGTCCAAGATTCCTGGCTGGGTTGGAATTTTGAGGGAATGGTGGAAGGTTCAAATGACAACAGGAATAAACCAATGGGAAACTGGCCCACCACAGCCCAGGAAGAAGCTCTTGGGTTTTTTTGTATTTTGGTTTTTTGTTTTCACATTGACTCAAATCCCTAAGACTCTAGATTCTGAATGTCATTTAGGCAGCAAACCTTCCCATATAACTTACTGTTATTATTATTAGGCTATAATTGATTCTTTATAGATCACTGATTATGTGCCATGTAAGTACTGATATGAGGTGGTACAGAAACACGTACTTCATAGGCCAGGCACAGTGGCTTACACCTTTAATCCCAACACTTTGGGAGGCCAAGGTGGGAGGATTGATTGAAGCCCAGAGTTAGAGATCAGCCTGGGCAACATAGTGAGACCTCGTCTCTACAAAACATTACAAAATCAGCAGGATGTGGTGGTGCACGCCTGTAGTCCCAGCTATTCAAGAGGTTGGCTTGAGCCCAGGAGTTTGAGCCTGCAGTGATCTATGATTGTGCCACTGCACTCTAGCCTGGGTGACAGATGGAGACCCCCAACTCTGAAAAACAAAAAGACAGAGAAATATCTACTTCACCTCATAAAGTATTTTTTTTCTTTTTGAGATGGAGTCTAGCTCTGTTGCCCAGGCTGGAGTGCAGAGGAGCGATCTAGGCTCCCTGTACCTCTGCCTCCCAGGTTCACACGATTCTCTTGCCTCAGCCTCCTGAGTAGTGGGGATTACAGTTGTGCACGACCACACCCGACTAATTTTTGTATTTTTAGTAGAGATGGATTTTCCCCATGTTGGCCAGGCTGGTCTCGAACTCCTGACCTCAAGTGATCTGCCCGCCTCAGCCTCCCAAAGTGCTGGGATTACGGGCATGAACCACTGTGCCCAGCCTAAAGTAGAATTTTTATGAGTTTATCGTTATTATTGCCTAGAGAAAATTGCCGATTAGAGAGTTTCAGCAGCTCTCCCAAAGTCAGTGAACTAGACAGAGTGGAAGAGGCAGACTTTGGACCTAGGTCTACCTGACTCCATAATGGGTACTTCTAGCCACTGTCCCAAACTGCCTCTTTGAAGGACAAGGTCCCATTCTCCTGGGGCAATTGAGAGTTAAGGAACAGAGTAGGCTTTTGTTTCTGCCCCTTAGTGCATGTGGTATACCAGTCATCTCTGGTGTCTGTTCAGATTTCATGTTGTGCATCTGGCTCAGGTACCTCCCCTGTGCTAAAGTGTTTCGGGTTGTCATGACTACATCTCTCAGTGATTTCTTTTGGGAAATACACTTCCAGTCTTTAGTTTCTGTTTTGCCGGTGTTGCTGGCCACACGTGTTTTAAATAGTGTTTAGACAGTGGACAGGTTATCTGTAATTTCAGTGAAACTGAAACTGTTTCCTTCTGGCCACATTCGTGAGCATTATCATATAGTTATCTTTTACTGGCATAGAAGAGAAGCAGCCACTGAGCACTGTTCTAGGAGCTTTACACCTTCTGTACTGTTAAGTTTAAACTTTACAACAACTCAGCGAAGTGTACATGCTAAAGTTCTCATTTTATAGACAAAGAAACTGAAACTTGAAGTAATTAACTTTGTCAACTGATAAAGCTAGCAAGTGGAGCCAGGCATGGTAGCTCCTGCCTGTAATCCCAAGACTTTGAGAGGCTTAGGTGTGAGGATCGCTTGAGCACAGGAGTTCAAGACCAGCCTAGGCAACGTAGTGAGACCCTGTCTCTACAAAAAAATTAAAAAATTAGCCAGGCATGGTGGTACGTGACTGTAGTCTCAGCTGCTCTGGGAGCTAAAGGGGGACGATCACTTGAGCCCTGGAGATCAAGGCTGCAGTGTGTTGAGATCATGCCACTGCACTCTAGCCTGGGTCACACAGCAAAACCCTGTCTCAAAAAAAAAAAAAAAAGCTATGTAATGGGGGAGCTAGGATTTGTGAGCCTAGGTCTGTCTGATTCCATACAATTTCCTGTATCTCATACAATTTTCTTTTCCTTTATTTTTTCTGACTTTGAATGCCAGGTGTGTTTCAAGAAAAATGCAATGCTTTTTTTGTTTATTTGTTTTGTTTTGTGTTTTTTGAGATGAAGTCTTACTCTGTTGCCCAGGCTAGAATGCAGTGGCATGATATCCGCTCACTGCAACCTCCACCTCTGGGGTTTAAGCTATTGTCTCATCTCAGCCTCCTGAGTAGCTGGGATTACAGGTGTGCGCCACCACGCCTGGCTAATTTTTTTATTTTTAGTAGAGGCACAGTTTCACCATATTGGCCAGGCTAGTCTCCAACTCCTGACCTCAAGTGATCCGCCCACTTTGGTCTCCCAAAGTGCTGGGATTACAGGCGTAAGCCACCAGGTGCAGCCAGAAAAATGCAGTGCTTTTAATGTCATTAACATAATTTCACCCAGAGTGCATTTGGCTCTTATAATATATGGGGTAATATATAGGGTGTCATGTCTTGATTGCTACATGAAGATGATGCAAAAATAATTGCTACTAGACAAAGTAAGGATTGAGCATATGAATTATTTTTGAGGAATAGTCAAATAGTTGTTTATGTGAAATTTCATAGACCCTGAACATTCATGATTTGATGTTGATGAGGCTTATCTGAGAGCTTCCCTGAAGGTCCAGGCTGGTGTCATGAGCCCTGTGAGGCTGGTCTTCAGGAGAGAGTGAGTCATCAGTCAGTAAATGGTGTGCCCCAGGAATATATGTAAAGGAAAACTGGCCTGGATTCAAATCCTAGCCTTGACATTGACCATGAAACCTTATGTGAGTTATTTGAATTCTTTGAGCCTTAATTTTTTCGTGAGCAAAACAGAGACAACTTAGTTTCTTTCTTGGAGTGCTGTTTTAAGAAATTTCATAAGATCATGCGTGTAAAGTTCCTAGCATAGCAACTGGTCTGTAGTAATCATTCATTGAATATAAGTGTTATGACCTCAAACTGAATTTACTATTTTCATTAAAAATGTGATCGTGTTAAATCTTCAGAATGACTCTGAAAAGTGGTAGAAGTGGCAATAAAACTGAAGGAAAATATATCCTGTGAGTAATATTCCTCGATTTTGGAGAATTTTGTAGGTTTCTTTTATTCTTTGAGAAGAATGAACACCAGAATGGTGAGATCATTAGTATCTCAGAAATGTTTTACATTAACAGAGGTATTATGTGTTATTTTATGTCATATTTATGTTTTATTATGTTATGGTTTTCATTTCATGTTCTCACTAGGCCTCCATGCCAGTGTTGTAAAGTTGACCAAGCAGACATAATTCCCATTTTATGAGGGAGGAAACAATTTCAGAGAGCTTAAAATGTACTGGAGGCTGAACTTTAATCCAGTACTTTCCCCTTCTCTCATTAACACTTCCTGATTTTTCTGGAATTATGGCTCCATTCTAGGGATGCCTGCCAGAATTCATAATAAACAAGTGAGATGGTTGGGGGAATGAAGAAAGCTATTTATATACACACCAAACTGTGTATTCCAGGAAATAAGAGAGTTATTTTCCTGGAATATCAGTAGATGTGTGATAACATTGAGCTACAAGGCTAGCCTGAAACTGGAGCAGATCTTCATTGAGAAGGTACATTGGCAGTAGGATAATCCTAGAATATTTGTGGAGGTTCCCAGACTGTCTTGGGACCTAGAGCTATATTTTGGGTGTTCTTTTGAGTCCTTTGGAGTACAATTAATTCAGACTATGAACACGTCAGGAATCCTGGGCAGGGCAAGTTTAAAAGACCATTTTGGGCAACATTTTACCTGGCTTAAGGTTTTAACATATTCCATGAGATTTTGCTCTTGATCTGCTTTAGGTAACGGTGGTGGTGATCATAGTAGTAGTAGCTGTTGTAGTTGCAGTAAAGTAAGAGCAAATATTTATTGAGCAAGTACTATGTACCAGGCATAATTTTAAACACATTGTCTGTATTATTTTAGTTGATTTGCGAATCTTGATATGCAAGAACAATGATAGTCTCCCCTTTAGAAATGAGGAGATTGAGGCACAGGAGTTAGAAGATCACAGAGCCAATGAGTAGTTGAGTCAAGACTGCCCCAAGGGGACCATCCTGGCTAACACGGTGAAACCCCGTCTCTACTAAAAATACAGAAAAATGAGCCGGGCGTGGTGGTGGACGCCTGTATAGTCCCAGCTACTCGGGAGGCTGAGGCAGGAGAATGGCGTGAACCCGGGAGGCGGAGCTTGCAGTGAGCCGAGATAGCGCCGCTGCAGTCCGGCCTGGACGAAAGAGCGAGACTCCGTCTCAAAAAAAAAAAAAAAAAAAAAAAAAAAAAGATTGCCCCGAGGGAGCCTTGAGCACCTCACTGCTCCGCGCTGGCCCTGACAACTGAAACACACAGCACTAGTGACATCTGTGCACTGCTGGACACACGGGCTAACCTGAAGGAAATGGAACTCACCTTTCAGCACCTCTGAGAGATCATTAATTGGTAAGACCCCATTAACTAAACACTGCTGCTTACCAGTTACTTCTCAGAACACTCCAGTTTCTCTTAGTGAATCTGTTATCTACCATGTTTAACATTTTCTCATAGATTTATTGACTATTTGTATTTTCTAAAAATCATATATTTTTGTCCTTGATCTCTTTTTCTGTTGGTATGTCCATTTTTTTTTTTTGCTACTGATTTACGAGTTCTGTAAACATTAAGGATGTTCATTTGCTTAAATTGCACAAGATCATCAAACAATAAGTATGTTGAATTTGATGTAGCATACATTTCAGAGTTATCATTAGTCTTTTAATTTTACTTTGGTGTTTTTGATATGGAGAATTTTTATTTTTCACGTAGTTTAAGCTATCCACATTTCCTTTACAGTTTGGTCTTGGGCATTATACATGAAAAAGATCAATAATTTTGTCATAGTTGACTGCAGGCTTTATCTTCCTTGCCCTACTATATCCAGTGTATTAGTCTGTTCTCATGCTGGTAATAAAGACATACCTGAGACTGGGTAATTTATAAAGGAAAGAGGTTTGATGGACTCACAGTTCCACATCGCTGGGGAGGCCTCACAATAATGGCTGAAGGCAAATAAGGAGTAAAGTCATGTCTTACATGGCAGCAGGCAAGAGTGCATGTGCAGGGCAACTCCCCTTTATAAAACCATCAGATCCGTGAAACGTATTCACTGTCACAAGAACAGCACAGGAAAGACCCGCCCCCATTATTCAATTACCTCCCACCAGGTCCCTCCCATGACATGTGGGAATTCTGGGAGCTACAATTCAAGATGAGATTTGGGTAGAGACCCAGCCAAGCCGTATCACACTGTAAACCAGCACGAGCTTATTTACTTTTTCTTTTCTCTCCTTATCCTATGCAGGAAGTCACCACATTCTGGTAATTCTTCCTCTTCCTCTCTCTTGCATCAGCTCCTTGTTCTCCATGGCTGTTTCTCTCATCCCAATTAGGCCCTTATTTCCAGACCATCAAAACTTGAGTTTCTGACGTGGTCCCCCAAATTTTCATATATTCAAATCCAGTGTCAGACCTGATTCGTCCTGATTGTTTCTGTTCAAGGAAAAATGAAGACCATTTCATTAACTAACGTTTGGGCTCTGGCAACCTTCACCCACTGGTCTTCTTGCCTCTTGCTTCTTTTCTCCCCCCTGCATTCCCTCCCAGTCCTTGTCAATAAGGTAATTCTCTCCTTAAAAAAAGTTTTCTGGGCCAGGCGTGCTGGTTCACACCTGTAATCCTAGCACTTTGGGAGGCCGAGGCGGATGGATCACTTGAGGTCTGGAGTTCAAAACCAGCCTGGCCAACATGGTGGAACCCCATCTCTACTAAAAAATACAAAAGTTAGCTGGGTGTGGTGGCTCATGCCTGTAGTCCCCGGTACTCAGGAGGCTGAGGCAGGAGAATCGCTGGAACCCGGGAGGCAGAGTTTGCAGTGAGCTGAGATCGTGCCACTGCACTCCAGCCTGGGTGACAGAGTGAGACTATGTCTCAAAAAAAAAAAAAAAAAAGAAAAGGAAGTTTTCTGTATCTCAGCCGCACCCCTTAAAAATCTCCTCTTCCCCTTGCTTGTAAATCAAATATTGACATTATTCCACAGAATCCTGGAGCTGGGCAAACTCTTACTGTTCGTCTTCAAAATGATTTCTCACAATACAAATACCTCTGATTCTACAGAGAACTCACTACTTTCTGTGGCTCTTCGTAGAACAGCCTTCTTTATTACCTTGTGTTGAAACAATACCTATCACTATATAGCTCTCTTTCTCATCCACTTTGTAGACTTCACCTCCTCTGCCCTTTCTTTCTCCATGGCCAGGAGCTGTCACATTACTGCCTAATTCCCCATTTCTATTGCTTTTTGAACACTCCCATCAGCTCGCATAATATAAACTGCCACTTGTATGGTGACAGCTCCCCAAATTGTGTCTCCAGGGGTGACTTCTCTGAGCTTACTGTATCCTTGTTAAATTTTTGCAACATTTGAAGGCAGTGGCATCATTCTGCCATCTCAACCACGCCACATCTCAGTCTGCTAAGTTTTCTCTTCTCCAATGGGCAGAGTTCCATCAACCATTCCTATCCCATGATTTCTGGACCTTTGACTCTTTTGAAAGTCTCCTTGGGATGCTGGCTGGATTTTTAATGCCTCGATATTATCTCAGTGACACCCTGATGTCCTCTTGATGTGGCTACTGACTTCGTGTATTGATATAATGCAATTGGCTTCCACTGCAATGATGTCACCTATTTCATAACAGAGTGTATGATTGACTAAACCTAGTTTTACTAGAAATCCTCTGGGTTAATAGTGATCCATGAGTCTGCTCTATGGGTTTGTTTAAATAGGTATATATTTACCTATCTGAATTTCATATATATATATATATATATATATATATATATATATATATATATACACACATACATATATATATATATTTAGGTTTTATTATATATAAATATATATATTTAGGTTTTTGTCGAGACAGGGTCTTGCTCTGTCACCCGGGTTGGAGTGCAGTGGCATGATCATAGCTCACTCCAGCCTCAACTTCCCAGGCTCAAGTGATCCTCCCTGAGTAGCTGGGCTACAGGTGTGCACTATGACACCTGACTAATTTTTAAATTTCCTGTAGAGACAGGATTTGCTAGGTTGCCCGGCTGGTCTCGAACTCCTGAACTCAGGCAATCCATCTGCCTCGGCCTCCCAAAGTGCTTGGATTATAGACATGAGCCACCATGCCCAGCCTCCCTACACGAATTCTTCATGTTAGCCAGCATTATTTCCAGGCTACTGCAGGTACAAGCCTTTGTGCTCAGGTACTGCCTCCATCCTCAGGGACTCTGTAGTCCACTGTGGAGTCTGGATAGTTGCATATGAAGAAACTAGAAAATGATATAAACCAATTTATAACAAACCACCAAATTTTATGTGACCCACCACTAGTCCTTTAATATCCCAGAGAAGAGCATCATCAAAACTTAGTGCTTACTGGGCACAGACTTGGTAGGCTGAGGCAAGAAGATTGCTTGAGAGCAGGAGTTTGAGACCACCCTGGGCAACACAGCGAGACCCTGTCTCTACAGGACGTTAAAAAAAAAGTTACCTGGGCATGGTGGTGCATGACTGTAGTCTCTGTTACTTGGGAGGCTGAGGTGGGAGGATCACTTGAGGCCAGGAGTTTGAAACCAGCTTCAGCAACATAGCAAGACCCTGTCTTTCTATTAAAAAAAGAAAAGAAAACCCTCAATGCTGACAGTAAGGGAGATGTCCTATTTGATTCATCCTTCCTACCCATCCCTTTCTACCCTGCCCCATCAGCCCACTACAGTGCCTTGAAGTCAGCAGCTTTTTAGCACATGTGGTTTATGGACTCAGGCTTATTAGAAAAACACTGTGCTTTGGAGTAATCAGAGAAAGTCTCATAAGGAAATCTTGATTTTCACTGAGCTTGGAAAGATGGGTGTGGGAGGGCATCCAGAGGAGGAGGATGAGTATGAGGAATGAGTTGATATAGTGAATTATTTAAGAGGTGGGAAAAGACCTACTTGCTTAGAAAGGAGCAGGTGGTGAGAAATGGGTTGGCAGCATCGCAGAGTGGTTAGGGGCGTGAGTTTTGGAGTCCTCAAGACCTGGATTAGAATTCATCTTTCACTTCCCAGCCACAGGATCTTGGGCAAATTAATTCAGCCTTCAACCTCAGTTTCATCACCTGTAAAAAAAGGGTTGATACCTCACTCAGAGGGTTGTTGTGGGGTTGTCGTATGTAAAATTATTTCCTGTAGCGCTTAGCCTGTGGCATGATATGAACTCATTGAGTTGTCGTAAAGAGCTGAGTGTTAATATATGTTGGAATGTTAATACTAGATTTTGGAGAGCCTTGAAAGATGGGCAGGGAAACGTTAACTTCATGAGTTAGGTAAAAAGTTTTATGTTTCTGAGCAGAGTGTCATCTCCCAAGTTCTCATCTGATCCTTTCCACCCACCATGCTTCCTCTATGAGAAATCTCAGGGCCAGAATCCTTGCTGCACAAACAGGAATTTGTAACCCAATGTGGCTGAGCTTACTGAGTTCATCGTTAATAGGTCCCATTCCTAGGAGGGTCCCTCTCATTGCCAGTTTATTATGATGCACACAGAGATCTATCGGCAGTACCCTAACTCAGTCTTTCATGTGGAAATTACACCATGCCCACGTATCCTTTTCTTTAGCCAATCCTACTGTGGTCGCAAACTTGCATTCTTTGCAGCATGAATAGTCTTTCAAAGAAGTGTCTGTTGTATTTCCAACCTAAATTCTGTTATTTGTAGTACTTCCTAGGACTGCTATAACAAAGTATCACAAACTTGGTGGCTTAAACAACAGAAATTTGTTTCAAATTCTGAAATACCTGAAAGTTCTGGAGGTGAGAAGTCTAAGATCAAGCTGACGGCAAGGTTGGTTCCTTGTGAGAGATGTAAGTAAGGAAGGCTCTGTGCCTCTCTCCTGGCTGTTGGTGGTTGCTGGCAATCTTTGGTGTTCCTTGACCTGTAGATGCATCACTCTGATCTGTGCCTTCATCTTCACATGGCATTCTTCCTATGTGTCCTCGCTTAGTCTTCCCCACCTGCATGTCTGTTTTCAGATTTTCCCTTTTTTTTTTTTTGAGACGGGGTCTCATTCTGTCTCCCAGGCTGGAGTGCAGTGGTGCGATCTTGGCTCACCTCAACCTCTGCCTCCCAGATTCAAGCCTCAGCCTCCCGGGTAGCTGGGACTACAGGCGCGCACTACCATGCCAAGCTAATTTTTGTATTTTTAGTAGAGATGGGATTTTACCATGTTGGCAAGGATGGTCTTGATCTCTGGACCTTGTGATCTGCCCACCTCAGTCTCCCAAAGTGCTGGAATTACAGGCACGAGCCACCACGCCCAGCCCCAGATTTTCCCTTTTTAAAAGGACACCAGTCATATTGGATCAGAGTCTCCCCTTACACCCTGTTTTCACTTGATGACCTCCATAAAGACCTATTTACAAATAAGGTCACATTCGGAGGTACTGGGGGCTGGGACTTACACATGTCTGTTTTGGGGTATATAATTCAACCCATAGGATTTCACTCTCTGACCCTCCCAAAATTCATGTTCTTTTGGTGTGCAAAATAGACTCATTCATCTCAACACCTCCAAAAGTCCTAATCATCCCAGCATCAACTCTAAGTCCCAAATCTCAACTACACATCATCAACTCAAAATCCCAAAACTTTCCCTCAAAATCATCCAAACAAGGTATAGGCAAGACTTGGGATATGATTCCTCCTGGGTCAGAGTTTCTTTCCATCTGCAAACCTGTGAAGCTGGACAAAAAGTTACTTGCTTCCCACATACAATGGTGGAGCAGGATAGACATTACCATTCTGAAAGGGAGAAATTGGAAGGGGAACAGGAGTCGTGGGTCCCATGCAAGTTCAAAAGCTAGGAAGGAAAATCCCGTTAGCTTTTAAGGTTTAAAAATAATCCTCTGTGTCTTGATGCTGATTCCTGAGCCCATCATCCAGGCCTATGACTGTAGTGGCCCCAACCCCTCAGCCTTGCATGGTCATAGCTCTGCCCTGTGGTTTTAAGTTGGGCGCCTCTGGGCTTGTGGTTGCAGCACCAGTCTCCCTGGCTTTGGAACCACTGTCAAAGTCATTTTTCCCTTTTCTGAAAGATAACACATTTGCAGCCAAATAGCTCCATCAACCCATTTTCTCCCTGGAGTCCTAGAAGTCCAACAGCATTCCTTCATTTCATCTTACCTCTGCAACCTTCAGTCCAAGACAGCAGTATTTCTGCTGAGATGGTTGACTGGATTCACAAACCACAGCCTTGGTGTTCTCTTCTGAGCATAGTTTCTTATCATTTGCAATATGGATAGCCTGAGAATTTGTCAAATCTTCAAGTTCTAGTTCCTTTTTGCTTAAAAATTCCTTTTTCAACTTATCTCTCTTTCTTCATTCACATTTTATTGTAAACAGCAGGGAGGAAACAGGCTGTGCCTTCAACACTTTGCTTAGAAACATCCTCGGTTAAATATCTCAGTTCATTACTTACAAGTTCTACTTTCTATCCAACAGAGCACGGTACAGCCAAATTTTCTGCCATTTCATAGAAAGGATCACCCTTCCTCCAGTTTCCTATAATATGTTCCTCATTTCCATCTTAAACCTCACCAGAAGCACCTTAGCATTCATATTTCTAGCAATACTCTGTTCATGACAATGTATCTACTCTCTAAGATGCTAACAGCTTTCTCTATATCCCTCCTCTTTTCTTTCTGAGCCCTCACTAGAATCTCCTTTAACACCTGTGTTTCTACCAACAGTCTCTTCAAGGCAATCTAGGCTTTTTCTATTGTGCTTCTCACAACTCTCCCAGTCTCTACTCATTCCTCAACTCCAAAGCCACTTCTACATCTTTAGGTGTTACAGCAGCATTCCACATTGCAGTCGCAAAATTGGCGTTAAGTTTCCTAGAAATGCGACAACAAAGTACCTGGATGGCTTGAGCAACAGAAATTTATTGCCTCAAAATTCCAGAGCTGAAAACACTGAGATCAAGATATTGGTAGGATTGCTTCCTTCCGAGGGATATGAGAGAGAATTTGTTCCATGTCTTTCTCCTTGCTTCTGTTGTTTTTTTTTGGCAATCTTTGATGTTTCTTGGCTTGTAAATGCATCACTGTGATTTCTGCCTTCATCATCACATGATATGCTTCCTGAGTTTCTTCACAGTCTTCCCTCTGTGCAACTCTGTCACCAAATTTCCCCAATTTTATAAAAACACCAGTCATATTGGATTAGGACCCACCTTAATGATCTTATTTAACTTGATTATCTCTGTAAAGATCTTATTTCCAAATAAGATCACATTCTGAAGTACTGGGGTTTGGGATTTCAACATATCTTTTTGGGGAGACACCATTTGACCCATAATACTCAACAAATTATAAGCATATCCAGCCGGGCATGGTGGCTCACGCCTGTAATCCCAGCACTTTGGGAGGCCGAGGTGGGTGGATCTCGAGGTCAGGAGTTCCAGACCAGCCTGACCAAGATGGTGAAACCCCGTCTCTACTAAAAATACAAAAATTAGCCAGGCGTGGTGGCATGTGCCTGTGATCCCAGCTACTCAGGAGGCCGAGGCAGGAGAATCACTTGAACCTGGGAGGCAGAGGTTGCAGTGAGCTGAGATCAGCCATTGCACTCCAGCCTGGGTGATAGAGTAAGACTCCATCTCAAAAAATATATATATATAAGCATATACGAGCAGTAAGTCAAGATTTTCAAACACAGATTAACATAACTTCTGGTTAAATAAAACATAGACTTGGGTTGTATTTATTTATTAATGAGTCCCTTCATTTAGTATTTATTGAATTCCTACTATGTGTTGGACATTCTCTAGCATCATGAAGTTCTTGAACTTGGATGAGAAACAATTTACATTGTTTCTTTCATTAACCTCTAATTGAAAGCTACCAGTCTTTTCTGATGTGGATGTTGGTAACAAACCACAGTAATATTAGCAGGACCTGTAACTTTATTACATAGAGCTTTTCAGACCATGTATCACAGATCTTTTCATATGTCACAACGGTTGTAGGAGAGACTTCAGTATATGGTTTATGATCTTCACTATCTTGAAATTATGAGTGATTACAATTTTTACTAGATCTTAAGTACTCCCCATCTTTTTTTTTTTTTTGAGACAGTGTCTCGCTCTGTCACCCAGGCTGGAGTGCAGTGGCGTGATCTTGGCTTGCTGCAACCTCTGCCTCCTGGGGTTCAAGAGATTCTCCTGCCTCAGCCTCCCAAGTAGCTGCGACTACAGGTACACACCACCACACCTCGCTAATTTTTGTGGTTTTTTTTTTTTTTTTTTTTTTGTAGAGACGAGGATTTGCTGTGTTGCCCAGGTTGGTCTCAAACTCCTGGGCTCGAGTGATCCACCCACCTTGGCCTCCCAAAGTGCTGGAATTACAGGCATGAGCCACCAGGCCTGGCCTGCTTCAAAGAAAATAAAAAAAAGACAATGTGTTCATAGATAGGCACATATATTGTTATGAGGTTAATGAAAGAAATGATTAAATTGTTTCTCATCCAAGTTTAAACTTTAAAAAGAATTTGGATTACTACATAATTCTTTAAAAAAGAACCATAAACTGTATACAATTTTTTTAAAAAAGACTTTAGGTAATTTTTAAAATTTGGATAATTTCAATATAATTGATTTATTTTCTAAAAATCTGTATATTTTATTTTACTCATTTAAAAATGTTGTCCTGAGAAGGTTTCATAGGATTCACTAGATTCTCCGAAGTTTCATCGCACAAAAATGATTCAGAAACATTATTCTAGTTGCTGGAAATAAAGTAGCAAACAAGTCAGATACGGTCCGGGCTTCCACAGAACTTACCTCGGGGGATGAGGAAAGAGGAAGATGACAAACAATAAACAAAGAATCAGCAGATTTCTAGGTAGTCATAGGGCTATGTATACAACTCATGTGTGTGTGTGTGTGTGTGTGTGTGTGTGTGTGCCTGTATGTGTTTCCTATACTATATATGAGAGTAGGAGCAATAAGAGAGAAACCATATCATGTACAGCATGTAGACTAGGGTAATAAGTTTCAGTTTTCTTCTAATTACATTGTGTGTTCATCAAAGATTTTTTTAAATTGTGATAAAATACATATAATGTGAAATTTACCATCTTAATCATTTTAAGGGTACAGTTCGGTGGCATTAAGTACATTTACATTGTTGTGTGACTGTTGCCACCATCCATCCACAAAACTCTTTCATCTTGCAGGACTAAAGCTTTATACCCATTAACCAATAACCCCTTCCTTTCCCCAACATTGGAGCAGTGACAAGACGTGTTTTACATTTTAAAAGCATGACTTCATTTAAAAAACGTGAAGACAATGTTGCTAGGCAAGAATAGAACCACCAACAGGAAACCAGTTAGGAAATACGGCAGATGAGAGGTGACAGTGGATGAACTATGGTGTTGGCAGAAAAGGAGTTTGAAGTGGACTTTGGCAGTAAATCAGACAGGATTAGATGATGGGCTGGAACAAGTATGGAGGAGGACTTGGGTTCTGTTTCGGACATGGTAAGTCTGAGTTGTGTCTTTGCCATCCAAGTGGAAGTGCCTAACAGTTGGGTAGACAAGTCAGAGTTCAGGAAAAACACCAGAATATATTGTGGAGTCCTGGGCAAATGAGTGGTATTTGAAGCAATGGGAACGGATGAGATAATCCAGGAAGATAATATAGATAAAGAACAAGCCCGGGAATAATCTCTGGGGCATTGTCATCGTTTAGAGGTCAGGTTGAGAAGAAGAGAACTTTATGAGTGGCTTGTCCAATCTTACTTAGAGAACTTAGTGTTGTAGGAACTTGGATCTTGGCTCAGACAAACAGACAAAGCTACCAGTTGAAAATTCCATCAGGCTGGTCTTAGCCAGGTTATACTGGGTCTGGCCATGAGAGAGGGGTAATCTCATCTTCTAATTTATATTTACACCTAGGACATCTAAGATGGTGCTGGGATGGGGGAGGCAAGACAGCGCCAAAGAGAAATTGTTCTCTATTATTTTATTCTTTATAATTTCAACTTGTATTTTAGATTCAGGAGGTACATGTGCATGTTCGTTACACTGGTATGTTGCATGATGCTGTGGTCTGGGGTGTGACTGATCCTGCCACCCAGTTAGTGAGAATAGTACCCAAAAGGTAATTTTTCAACCCTTGACCCCTTTCCACCCTCCCCTCTGTAATGGTCCCCAGTGTCTATTCCCACCTTTATGTCCATGAGTACCCAACGTTTAGCTCCCACTTATAAGTGAGAACATACAGTATTTGGTTTTCTGTTCCTGAGTTAATTCGTTTAGGATAGTGGCCTCCAGCTACAGCCATGTTGCTGCGAAGGACATGATTTCATTCTTTTTTATGACTGTGGAGAAATTAATAATTTGAAAGCATTCAACACTGCTTGTACATAGAAAACATTATATAAATGGAATTAACATAATATATATTAACGAATCAAAGAGGAGGTAAATATTTCATTGTAGAAAACCTTTGAGCAGGTATCTTTTCTTGTCCCATAAATTAAGGATGCTAAACATACATTTAAATTTTCTATTTTTTTAATTAATTAATTTATTTATTTTGAGACAGAGTCTCGCTCTGTCGCCCAGGCTGGAGTGCAGTGGCACAGTCTTGGCTCACTGCAAGCTCTGCCTCCCGGGTTCACGCCGTTCTCCTGCCTCAGCCTCCTGAGTAGCTGGGACTACAGGTGCTCGCCACCACGCCCGGCTAATATTTTGTATTTTTAGTAGAGACAGGGTTTCACCATGTTAGCCAGGATGGTCTCGATCTCCTGACCTCGTGATCCACCTGCCTTGGCCTCCCAAAATGCTGGGATTACAGGCGTGAGCCACCGTGCCCGGCCACATTTAAATTTTCTGTGTCATAAGATATACTATTTTCTACATATTATATCTCAATAGCTATTTGATTGGTTGATCATGCAAGGTTTAAGAAGTGGTCCAAAAACAAGTTTGAAAAATTATGTCATTTTTATGTGTGTATGGTTTTTTTTGGTTCTAGTAAAAAAATGTAAATGTTTTTAAGTGATCTTTAAATATTTAATAGTTTATCATCTCTAAATGTACTTTTTGAAATATAAATTTTACAACATGGGATATAATATAACTTGAAAGTCATGCTGTTCATTTATTCAGTTGGTCACTACAGCCTGACCTCTTGGGCAGGATTTTAATTAATGAATTATGAACATGTTGAATGTCATTTGACTTGCGATTTGATGCTTTTAATAGTTTGTGGTTTGCTAATTATTTGGAAATCTCTCACCCCTTTGTTCTAGAAGAAGCATTCTGGTTTCTGCGCGTGTTCCTCTTTGCCATATGCAAACATTTGGGAAATGGAAATAGGGAAGCAGCAGCTTCTTAGAAAAACTATAGATGAATGGAACAGGAACTGCAAAATTAGCAAAATGTAAGAGGAACTGTCGATCTTGTCCATGATTGCTTTGGCTTATTTTTTCTCCTTTGCTAGGAGACCTGTTCTGATGATGTGTGTGGTCCTCACCACACTGCCCTGCCTCACCTTTTCCATAGCAGTGACTGAGGTATGGAATTTTTGATTTCTTCTGCTACAAGATTATGAGATTTTATAATTTCTTGTTATTGGAATTTGATAGAGCAGCGTGCTCAACAAATTTCTTGACATCTATGTAATCCAATCTTCTTCCAGGTTGCAATATATGTTATTTAAAGTACTGAGATCATTGTTACCTCTGTGATTGTGAAGGAAAGTCTAGTAGCCAATTTTTAAAAATTAATTTTGTGTTTGTGTGTGAGACAGTAATGATATTTGAACGTTTAAAAAGTGAAAAATGTGAAAGTTGATCTATATTTGTTTCTTCTACCAACCTGATGTTTTTCATGATTGTCCTCAATTGTAAATGAATACAACAAGATCTAAGGGAAGGACCACTTACATTTTAATACCTTTGATAAGATGTCCATTGATAATAATTTGCATGTGTTATTTATTTGAAAATAATACTGAGTTTATGTTTTGACTAAATATAGCTTCAAAAGATCTTGGATAGAAACCAGCAGGGCAGGAATATCTTAGGCAGAACTTTCAGGCTTGTAAGTACTTCATTATCCAAGAAGGTCAGAGAAGAATGCCCCACTAATCTTATTGATTTGCAAGGTGCTGTGGAAGATAACTTTTATTTTCCCAAAGCATACTTAATTTACTAAATTACTTAATTTACCTTGTGATATTTCACTTGTATGTGAAGCAAATATTCATTAAGTATATATTACAGGCCAGGCACTGTTAGGTACAGGGCATAGGGGACCCAGGAAATATGGCCGAGTCTCTCATATAATTTTCTGACATTAGAGAGAAAAATAAACAGGCAATTAGAACAAGTATCACAAGTGTTGTGAGACAGGGCAGTACCGAGTAATGTATGACATTAGAAATTACATGGTTGTTAGAATGCATTGTAGGTGCTGCTAGAATACATCATAGATGCTAAATTAGGACAATGTATGAAGGCATAGAATAATTTTGGGAGGTTACTCACATGTGCTTTGCTTCCAGTGAACTGCAACAGGGAATATTTCAATCTAGATCTGTCTTTTCCCCTCTCAAAGACCTTGTAAATCATTTGGAAGGTTCTCAAAAGCTGTAAAAATTTAGTTTACAACCTTTTAAGAAACATCACTGCGGTAAACTGATGGCATATCTGGAGCTCGATAGCCCTTTTTGGCTCTTTTTTATGATGTCTCTTCCATTGTTACATCTTTTTCTTTCCTTTCCTTTTTTTCTTACTTAATTTTCACCGAAGTATAACACATAAACAGAAAAGTGCACGAAACATACAAGTACAGTAACAATGGAATACCACAAAGCAACCCCCTGGGTAAGCATCGCTCAAGTCAAGGTCAAGAAGGAAACTTTGGCCGGCTCCATGCCCACACTCCTTTATTTTTATTTATTATTTTATTTTATTTTTGTATCAGAAACCCATTGCTTGCTCACTCTTTTTTTATGCTCCTTTCAATGACTCCCTTTCCCTCCTTTCCAGAAGTCACTTCTAACTTGACTTCTGATACTGCAGGCTAGTTTGTCTGTTTTTGAAATTTTTCCAAGGAGAAATCAAATGATGTCTGGCTTCTTTTATTTAAAATATGGTTGTGAGGGTCATTCCTGTTTCTGTAAATACCTGAAGCTCATTCGTTTTCAGCTGTAGAGTATTACATTTTATGAAAAGATCATAATTTACTTATCTGTTCTACTCTTGGTCGCCATCTTGGTTGTTTCCAGTTTTGGCAATTACAGAGAATGCGGCAGTGAACATCTGTGAATATGTCTTTTGGTGTGCATGAGCAAGCATTTCTGTTGGTTATGTATGCAGGAGCAGAACTGATGGATCATGAGATATTGAAATGTTAAATTGTGAGAGATAAGGTCAAACAGCTTTTCAAACAGATTGTACTGATTTCTATAGCATCTCTATAGAACTCACCAGCAGAGAAGGAGCATTCACCAGCGCTTGCGTTGTTTCTTATTTTTTTGGAGACAGAGTCTTTCTCTGTTGCCCAGGCTGGAGTGCAGTGGTGCGTGTGATCTTGGCTCACTGCAAGCTCCGCCTCCCAGGTTCAGGCGATTCTCCTGCCTCAGGCTCCCCATCAGCTGGGATTACAGGTGCCCACCACCACTATGGGCTAATTTTTGTATTTTTAGTACAGACGGGGTTTCACTGTGTTGGCCAGGCTGGTCTCGAACTCCTGACCTCAGGTGATCCACCCGCCTCGGCCTCCCAAAATGCTGAGATTACAGGTGTGAGGCACCCCTCCAGGCATCATTGTGTCTTTTTATTTCAGCTCTTCTGGTGGGTACGATCCTGAATCTCACTGTACTTTTAAATTACATTTCTCCAGTAATTAACAATGTTGAGCATCTTTTCATCTTGCCCATTTTTTATTGTGTTGCTTATCTTTTAAAAACGTATTTGGAAGACTTATTTTCATATTCAGATTATACAAGCCTTTTTTGATTATATGTATTGCAAATATCTTTATGTAACTTGTCTTCACACTTTTATATCTTTTTGATGAAAAGAAGTTCTTAACTTAAAAATAGTCCAGTTTATTGCTTTCCTTTATGGATAGTGCTTGGGTCACTCACTTGTAGAAGATTTTGTCATTGTGAATCTGAATTTCAAAGTCTTAAAATCTTTCATATATATATATTTTTGTTTGTTTGTTTGTTTGTTTGTTTGTTTTTGAGATGAAGTGTTGCCCTATTGCCCAGGCTGGACTGCAGTGGTGCAATCTCTATTCACTGCAACCTCCACCTTCTGGGTTCAAGTGATTCTCACCTCTCAGCCTCCTAAGTAGCTGGGACGACAGGCATGTGCCACCACACCCGGCTAATGTTTGTATTTTTAATAGAGATGGGGTTTCAACATGTTGGCCAGGCTGGTCTTGAACTCCTGACCTCAAGTGATTTACCTGCCTTGGACCCCTGAAGTGCTGGGATTTCAGGTGTGAGTCACTGTGCCCAGCCTCCTAATTATATTTTGAAAGCTATATTGTTTCTTCATTCTTTTTTAGATTCACAATACATCTGGAACTGATTTTTGTATATGTTGTACAGCAGTGAGTTAATTTTTTTCCCCACATAACATTCAATGGACCGAGCACCATTTTACTAAAAAATCCATCCTTCCCACATTTCTCTGCTGTGCCACCTTTGTTATAAATCAAGTGTAGATATACATAATTCCTATGCCAACTCTACACTGTCTTAGTTCTTGCAGCTTTATACTAGTTCTTTATATCCAGAAGAGTAAATCTTCCTAGCTTATTCTTTTTCTTCCAGAATTTCCTGCCTTTTTAATTTTCATATAAATTTTATTGTCAGCCTGTCCTTTTCCACAAAAAGTTGCAACAGTGGTTGAAGTTGCATTGAATAGTATCATTTTTCCTTCCTTCCTCCCTCCCTCCTTCCCTACCTCCTTTCTCTCTCTCTCTCTCTCTCTCTCTTTCTCTCACTCTGTTGCCCAGGCCAGTGCAATGGCATGATCTCAGCTCACTGCGACCTCTGCCTCCTGGGTTCAAGCAATTCTCCTGCCTCAGTGTCCTGAGTAGCTGGGACCACTGGCATGTGCCACCATGCCTGGCTAATTTTTTTTGTATTTTTAGTAAAGATGGGGTTTCACCAAGTTGGCCAGGCTGATCTCGAACTCCTGACCTCAGGTGATCCACCTGCCTCGTCTTCCCAAAGTGTTGGGATTACAGGTGTGAACCACTGCAACCAGCCTACACTGTTTATTTCATTCTCTGGCGCATTACCCTGGCTAAGACCTCCAGGACAATGTTGAACAGAAGTGGCCATGGTGGCATCTTTGTCTTATTCCTGATTTCAGAGGGAAAACTTTCAATATTTCATCATTAATACAATGCTTTCCATAGTTTTTTGTTATTGTGGTTTGTTTTTGTTTCTGTTTTTTGTGGGGCAGGGTCTTGCTCTGTCACCCAAGCTAGAGTGCAGTGTCACAGTCACTAGTCACTGCAGCCTCGACCTCCTGGGCTCAAGTGATCCTCCCATCTCAGCCTCTCGAGTAGCTCGAACCAAAGATGTGTGCCACCACACCCAGCTAATTTTTAAATTTTTCATAGACTTGGGTTCTGGCCTTGTTGCTCAGGTTGGTCTCGAGCTCCAGGCTCAAGCAATCCTCCCACCTCAGCCCCGCAAAGTGCTGGGATTATAGGTGTGAGCCACCACACCTGGCCTTGCCGTAGCTTTTTGTAAACATTTTAAGCAGACGAAGGAAGTGTCCCAAAGTCTAGCCAGAATTATCTGAGTTCTGTCTTCTTGGAAGACTCTAAATGTTCATATTTGTTCTTCTAGCTCTTTGAGGCTGGATTCTTAGAAGCTCTGCTCAGCAGTAGAGTTGGAAGGAGTTACCCCTTCAATATTACAGGGAGCCCACTACTGTTTTTTGCATGTATTTACCAAGGTCTGTCTTTAACTGAAAATATGCTTCCATTGATATGAGTCCTTATGACAGCTTTAGAAATGATTCAAAACCTTGTGGCATTTAAAACCTGATGAGTTAAAAACCAACCTTCTAGTTTTTTAGTAAATGTAATTATAATTAATTTAGTGCTGCATTCAGACTATTGAAAGCATTTTGAGCAAAGAAAGCACAATAATTTAATGCTTGTAAATGGTTTTCTCTAAACAGGTTCAAAAGAGCATTAATGGGTCCGCTGATGTCTTACCTGATATGTTACCTGACCTGCCCGTATCTCTGGTTCTGTTATCCCTGATCATGGTTGATATTATTGAAAAACTCAGGATATATCCTCTTAGAGGGAGTCAAAAGAGTAAGTGTTCTTTTAAATGTGAATATTTTTTAAAGTTTGATATATTTTTCACATTTCTGCCACTGTGTTATCTGACAACATGTTTAATGATACCTTTTCTTAGGGCTAACATTACTGATAGAAGATTGCAAATGAAGATATCTAAACATAATTATTTTTAAACCTACCTTGATAGCTAGATAGCTGCTTTTGTTTGCTATTCGCATTTTAGTAGTACTGATAAATTAAAAATTATCAAATAGTTAATACCAAAAACCTTAATGTTTATTCCAGCAAGAAATTATCCAAGTAAATTATTATAGATGTATATTTTTCTAGGAAGTCTCTTAAAGCTTATGTTTAAATGGATTAATAAAAAGCTTAGTTTGGAGACTTTTACTACAGGAATTAATATGACTGTGGTAGTTGTGTCCTAGATAATCATGTGTTTTTAATTGTGAATTATAAAAATGCCAAAGATCACACTAATAAAACCAAGATATGGCTGGGTGCAGTGGCTCACACCTGTAATCCCAGCATTTTTGGAGGCCAGGATGGGAAGATGGCATGAGCTCAGGAGTTTGAGACCAGCCTGAGCAACATAGCAAGACACCATCCCTATAAAAAAATAAAATTTAAAGAAAACTCAACAAGATGTGTCACATCTCCTCCAAAGTGATGAGTTGAAACTAAATACAGATTGGCCCTTACAAAAAGATATTTTGTTAATGGAATATTTTATTTATTTAGTCGTAAATTACTCCAGCTTTCATTAAATTTCTTGCGGTAGTATCTGTGTTTAATTGGCAATATTTGTATGCTAGTTACTGTGTGGCTAAGATTTTGTCATGTTGTGCATTTGAAATGGGTAAGGTTTGTCAGGTTGTTTTCTGATGGGGTGAATGGAGTCAACTGAGTGAGCCTCAGGAGACAGCTTCAGAGTGACGGGGTCACCACTGGGGCTCGTCAGTCATTTATGGGTCAGATATCAGTACCTTCCAGTCACTCTTGCTGCTCAGATGGAAAGCAAAACTGAGGTGGAGGCCACTAGGAAGTTGGAGAATCTGAGCCTGTCACTTTGTACTTCATCCTCGGGTGGGAGATGACGGTCTGTTATGGCTAACATAACACAGGTGACATGTAGGTGGATAAGATGGCAGCCGGGGCCATCTGTTGAGTGGAAAGCACACCCAAGTCACATCTGCCCTCCAGAGTCAAGCGTATTTGTCTTAAACTCAGGAGAGTTGGGAATCTCCAAATCCTTTGCTACATCTCTAGATTCCTTAAAAATGCAAATCTATTTTTAAATATAATTTTTTTTTCAATTTGAGCTGGGGTCTTGCTATGTTGCCTAGGCTGACCTAGAGTTCTTGAGCTCAGGAGATCCTCCTGCATCAGCCTCCTGAGTAGCTGGGATTCTAGCTGTGCACGGCTGCACCCAGCGTTAAATTGGATGGTTTCTGATGACTCTGTATTTTCCATATTAATATAAATTTCCTGTCCAAGTTAAAAGGTCTTTTTAAAAAAGAAAGACACGTGTATCTTTTTGGGAATAAGTTAATAACATTTTATTTTTGTTAGTGATGAGTTGTTTTTTTGTTTTGTTTTGTTTTGTTTTTGAGACGGAGTCTTGCTCTGGAATGCAGCGGCATGACCTCTGCTCGCTGCAACCTCTGCCTCCTGGGTTTAAGCAATTCTCCTGCCTCAGCCTCCCGAGTAGCTGGGATTGCAGGCATGTGCCACCATGCGTGGCTAATTTTTGTATTTTTAGTAGAGACAGGGTTTCATCATGTTGGCCAGGCTGGTCTCGAACTCCTGACCTCAGGTGATCCACCCACCTGGGCCTCCCAAAGTGCTGGGATTACAGGTGTGAGCCACCGTGGCTGGCCATTAGTTGGGTTTTTAAAGGGGAATTTCCTTGCATCCATAACTTCAATAATGACACTGAGAATTGAAATAAGACATCTAAAGAAGAAGTAGATCTGGGGGAGAAGACTCTAGCACAATTTGTACAACTGCTTCTCACTTGAAGAGCCTCCTTCTTGAGCTGTTCTCCGTCCAAATTTAGGAAGATTAGTGTCTGGTTTGATAGTTCCACCGTTTAATAAATTCACACTTAAAAAAACTAGCAGTCACTTGAAATGCCTTTGTAAATATGAATCATACATGCTTTTAATTTGTATGCAAAGACCTTGAACCCAAATTGTCTCCTACACTCATTTTAACATGAAATTAATGATATAAATTATGTAAATTTTGAATCCATGAGGTTTTCTCATTTATTACTTGGAACATGAATTAATATATGAATACATTAACATGTAAATCTTAAATACATAAATCTGAACCTAAGCAAATATACCATAAATATGGTTTCACTACAGGTGATACTTGCAAGTAAAAAAAATTGACTAGAGGCGGGGGATGAACAAGATCTAGAATAATTTGGCTCCCTTTAGGAAATGTGGGAAAAGTGAATATGTTCTTTGCTCTTTCCAGATAGTCTGAAATGCATACATGTCTGTCAGCTAGCAGCAGTTTGGACTTTATGCTAGATGAAACCAACATAATCTACAACGTTTTGATTTATGGACACTCTCACAGCATCCTAACCATCTTCATTCCAAGCTACAAAACTTTTATCTTTGTGTAGCTTTTCTTTTTCCAAAATTTTAAATAAGTTATTCTGCTGACAAAATATGCTTATGCTTAAAGCAGTCTTCACCGGACCAAGGAATCCTTTCTACTAACTTCGTATTACCAGTGGAAATCTCTCAGTATCAAGTAATTATCATGCAACAGCTTCTAAGTGCATCGTTTCATGGAGGTAGAGCAGTGCATGGGAGCATTTTTCTGACGCGTGGATCTCTGTAGCACGGCAGTCTCACAGATGTACGTGGTACCTAGGAATGCCAATCCCCAGTCCCGTGCAGAAATAACAAGAATACAAAGGATAGCCTGTGGGTACAAATGAGCGCACCTTAATGCTTCCATTTGAATTTTGCTAACTGAATCCCATGTATTAACGCTCATTTAGCATTGCAACCATACCTGTTTCTAGGACATTACCATTTTTACGGAGAGATAGATAGGTTGCCAGCTCTCACTCCAGGCCCAGCTCCCTGGCAATCATGACCTTGAACCACCTAGAAGCAAAGTGAGCCCCCATCTAAGGTCTTGTGATTGCTGCTGCTGCTCTGGGCAATTTCAGCTTTGTAGGCAGAGTGACCCATCTTGGTGGGGTACACACTGGTTTGAGGCTCAACAGTAAAGAAGAGGACTTTCATCTCCTCTTCTTCACTGTCTTTTTTCTGCTCCCATTTAATTAATTAGTTAATTAATTAATTTTTTGAGACAGAGTCTTGATCCTCCTGCCTCAGCCTCCCAAGTAGCTGGGAATACAGGAGGGCACCACCATGCCTGGCTAATTTTTGTATTTTTAGTAGAGATGGGGTTTCACCCTGTTGGCCAGGCTGGTCTTGAACTCCTGACCTCAAGTGATCTGCTTGCCACAGCTTCCCAAAGCACTGGGTTTATAGGCATGAGCCACCGTGTCCACCTGCTGCTGCTGTTTTAAACCAGACCCACAGTGGGTCTCCTGTGCCCTTATTTGTTGGTCCAGACCCCTGACTACCTTGCTGCATCTGCTTTGCACTCAGCTTTTCACTCTCACGTGCAAACCCCTCAGCATGCTATTTTCTACCACTCCTGCTCGGCTCTGCTCTAAATGCTGTTGGTGCTGCTGTTGCTTGTGTCTGGGATATTGGTGGATGTTTTGCTGGTGCTTTAGACTGACTTCCTTTCTTCTGCTAGTGGGAATATTGGCTTCCTGCCACCGAGTTCTAGTTTTCTAAAGAGGTTTCAGGCAGAGCACTATAATAACTGTTTTTTTCTTGGAAACAACAGCCTTTTAGCCCTTAGAGTGTATATGTACCAACAAATTGGCTGGGCTTCAGTGATTTCAGGTAGTGGCCATTCTACTCCCCTGGAAACCACCATTTCCCCTCCCACTTATAGAACTCGTGGCTGAATGTGGCAGAGCCAGACTCCTTTGAGGCAGCTTTTCTCCATGGGGGTCTCATAGATCCTCAAATCAGGCTTAGCTATATTGCCTGAACCTCAATCCTTGCCATCGTTAGAGTCCTCTCCTTGTCACTACCTAGATTCCTTAACCCCCATCAAAACCAGTGGGTGCAAACAGACCTATGAAAGTGTCCATGATTAGAGAGAGAGTTTTCAGTCCTACCTTCAAGACTCATTTGAATAGGACTTGCAGCCCAGGCCAGACATGCTGTTACAAAGTGCTACAATAGATTTTAATAGCTAAAGTACTATGGTGCCACAGATGAAGGAAAACTTCATTTTATCTAAGGTGATGAAGGTAAGAGAAGACTAAAGGGAAGATCTTGGGTTTGCAGGAGTTTGTAGGTAGACATGGTAAAGAAAGCTTTCTACATAGAAGAAAGGTTGGGCCTCCAAGAACTAAGGCGTGTATGTAGCAAATGGCCATGTTTGGGAAGTGAAAATGAAGCAGTGTTGTTGTCTGGGGTAGATACCCAAGGTTCGTCATCTTGTGCCAAGAAGATTAAGGACATGGACACACACAAGGAGTGAGTTTAGGAGCGGAGGTTTAATAGACAAAAGAAAGAAAGGAGAGCAGCTCTCTCTCTTTCGAGACAGAGGGGCTCCTAAATGGGAATTCCAGCCATGACAGAGTGCACCGGGTTTTATAGACAGGCTTTAGGAGGTGGTGTCTGATTTACATAGGGCTCAGAGATTGGTTGGACTGGGTGTGATGTTTACATAGCACCCAGAAAAGGCTGGTCACCCCACCGTAATCTTATTATGCAAATGGACTTTCCACTTGGCTGGTGCCATGTTGCCTGCTCCTCACTGTACATGCAGCTGGCAAAGAGAAGGGAAGATGGAGCCACCATTTTGACCATGCCTAGTCCCAGGTGGCCTTTTCCTATTGGCACAGCTGCCAGCATTCACCTGTACACGCTTCCAGCTTGCTTGTCTGTGTCTGCAGCTCGATTTTACAGGCTGCTGTTTGTTAGAAAATGATTTGGGAGTGCTTTTCATTAAAAGGAAAACCTTACCAAGGACTCCCGTACCCTCATATCTGCCTAAATAATTTCTTCTTAACTCCTATATCAAAATTAAGCTTGGTTGGATTTCACACCTTGAATCAACAAACCTGGTGCTGGGAGGCAAGTTTCCTTCTTAAAACTGACTACTGTTCATCAAATTGTCATTTCAGAAACCTACAATGTTACTTCAAGAGTGACTAAAAATTTGCATGCAGCCCGGCGTGGTGGCTCACGCCTGTAATCCCAGCACTTTGTGGGGCTGAGGTTGGGGGTGGGGGGGATCACCTGAGGTCAGGAGTTTGAGACCAGCCTGGCCAACATGGTGAAACCCCGTTTCTACTAAAAATATAAAAATTGGTTGGCCGTGGTGGCATGCGCCTGTAATACCAGCTACTGGGGAGGCTGAGGCAGAAGAATCGCTTGAACCCAGGAGGCGGAGATTGCAGTGAGCTGAGATGGTACCACTGCACTCCAGCCTGGGTGATAGAACATACCTCTGTCTCAAAAAAAAAAAAAAAAAAAAAGGAAAGAAAATTTGCATGCGTGTGTGTGTTGTATGTGTGTGTTTGGGAGAAGGGAGAGCTTCATCATGATCAACAATATTTTTGTGTGTTTAAGAGTTGATGTTTTATGTGAGATTTCATTTGGGGGAAAAAAAAGCTTCCTCTGCTAAATGTTTAAAAATCATTAACCTAGGGCTTCATTCAGCATTGTAACCGCACCTGTTTCTAGGACACTACCATTTCTATGAAGAGATAGATAGGTTGCCAACTCTCTCTCCAGGCCCAGCTCCCTGGCAATCATGACTGCACCACCTAGAGGCAAAGTGAGCCCCCATCTAAGGTCTTGTGACTACTGCTGCTGCTCTGGGCAGTTTCAGCTTTGTAGGCAGAGTGACCCGTCTTGGTGGGGTACAAACTGGCTTGAGGCTCAACACCTTTGAAAAACAGATAAACCTTTTAACATGCCATGTTGAATTTTTTCTTTCCAATGTTGCATTTTTCCAAAAGAACACATACTCATTTTAAAAAGTTATAAAATAGAGATAAACAAAAAAGAAAAGGTAAACCAACCATAACCCTACAAACTAGAAATTTGTTACTGGATAGCATCTTGATGTACATTCATGTGTTAAGAAAACCTATTCTGCAACTCTTCTTTTTTTCTTAATGTATGGTGGGCATCATTCTCATTATTACATCTTCTTTTTGTTTTATTTTGTTTCATTTTGAGACAGTCTCACTCTGTTGCTCAGGTTGGAGTGCAGTGGCATGATCTCTGCTCACTGCAATCTCTGGTCCTGGGCTTAAGCGATTCTCGTGCCTCAGCCTCCCGAGTAGCTGGGACTACAGCCGTGCACCACCACGTCCCTCTAATTTTTGTATTTTTAGTAGAGACGGGATTTCACCGTGTTGGCCAGGCTGGTCTTCAACTCCTGACCTCAAATGATCCACCCGCCTCACCTCCCAAAGTGCTGGGATTACAGGTGTGAGCCACCGCGCCAGGCCTCATTATTACATCTTCTACTGTGTAGAAGGTGTTATTGGTCAAATTATATTCCATTATGTTAATGAGCCATGATAATATATCTAGCAGATCCCCAGTTGTTGAACAACTAGATTTGTTCCAGTTTTTAACTATGATAAATCCTGCTGTTATGAGTCTCATTCAGAAGTAAAAGGGTTGAGAAGGACAAGGATATGGTTAGAATGCCTGAGGCGATGTGCTTGAGTTGGACAGGGCAGACAAGTCATGGTTAAAGCACGTGTCCATGTGTAGTGCAGGTGGGCTGTGTTTAAAGCGCCCTGTGCTCCGTGTGGGAGTCAGAAACCTCTCAGTGAGGTGACTGGCAAAACAGAAGCTGGGGATGGAGAGAGTTAACTGCCTCTGGATGGGAGCCGAATGATATCAGGATGATGATTGCAGAGTGTCCTCAGAAGGCCTGGAGCATCTGCTCATGCCCAGACTCCTCAGCAAGAACACTGCCAGAAGAAAGTGACTACTAGGGACTGGTTACACAGGCTGGGAATGTCGAGGGGCCCGTAATGGGATCGTATGTACTGTGCGGTGTGGCAAGAGGGGTTTGGCTGCATTAGGGAGAGCCGCATGGTCAGAGATGGCTGGCTAGAGGTGAGGTCAACAGGCTATTTGAGTGGAAAACCTCAGCTCCCTGCAAAGGAGGCGGTTTCCACTATCACATCAGCGAGAGGTGCCCGGTATGATGTTGGCAGGGTAAGGTTTTCAAATAAATCTGCTCCCAATGGCCCTCGTCCAATGCCTTCTGTGTGGTCTTTTAATATCAGAAACTTGAGTCAGTGCCTGCAGGCACCTCAGCAGCATAGATGGCTATTTCCTTAGGTCAAATGTTCAGATGCAGAACTTCCGGCTCACAGTCCGTGCAAGCTTTTAAGGTTTTTGATATGTGTAGTTAAATTGCTCCCTCTAAAGAACTTACCCTCTAAATAGCAACGTAAAGAAATACCTGTTTCTCCTTAACCTTACAACCTTGCAACACTGGAAATTTATTCCATTTCCTCTCTTGCAAAATAGTATCGTAGGCAAAATAGTAGTAGTTGTAGTTGTGTTTGCCCTCTTCTCATAGGCTTATTGGCCAGTTGTATTTTTCTTTTAAATCATATATTTAGGTCTTTGATCTGTTTTTATGTTGGTATGGCCATTTTTCTTTTATTTTCTTCTTCTACTTCCTTTTTTTTTCCTGCTGATTCATGAGTTCTATAAATAGTAAGGCTGTTAAGTTTTGCCTGTCATAGGTGTAGTGTATGTTTCAGGGTTCTCATTTGCCTTTTAATTTTACTATGGTGTTTTTCATATAGGGAATTTTAAATTTTGATGTCATCCAAGCTATTAGTATTTCTGTATGGTGTAGTTATGCTTAAAAAGTCTTTTTTTCACTACAAGTAAAAATTATTTACCAATTATTTTCCCGAAGCAGTTTACATTTAAATGTTTAATGAAGAAAAATTGAATTCTCTATAGGATACAAGTTGGTTAATTTATAAATAACCAATAAGTTAGACAAGATAGTCAACATGTTTATTTACCTGAGCTGGCAAAGTTTTTAGACTTCTGATTCTATTGTATTTCTTCTGGTGTTTCCAACATATAAAAAAGCACTTAATAGAGTGCTTTAAAAATATCAGTGCCAAGCACAGCTGCCCCAGATGAACTGAATCAGGATCTCTGGGGATGGGATTAGGCATATTTGGATTTTAAAAAAGGAAACCTCATTGAGTGACCCTGATTTATATCTCTAATTAAGAGCAGTGCTTCTCATCCTTGGCTGTACATTAAAATCAACTATGGAAATTTAAAAGTTTTGATGCCTAGGATGCTGCCTGGTTAATGAAATCATAATTTTTGGAGTGAGGCCCAGGCACTACTAATTTTTAAAATTAGTGATTCCCAGGTGATTCACAATTGGGAAAATAATAGGAGTGGATAGGGAGAAAGCAAGCAAGGGGAATTTACATCAGATAATGCCCCAATTTCTTCATGAAATAGGAAGCAAATTTTCTGCTGAGAACAATGGAGATGGATAGAGGGGAGAGGACCCAAAAGAATGGGGAAGCTCTGGGGTAACTGCTGTGGGGAATGGAGATGAAGTGGGCGAGGGATAGGGAGACAGATGGATGAGTAATGTTGAGTGTGCAGCAGAAATTGGAACCAGGAATTTGTTCTGGGGCCAATCCAGATAATGTGATTTTTTTCCTCACTGAGGCTCAGAAATCTGGGCCTTGCAGGTTGAAAAGATAGAAGCGTTAGGACTGACCCAGATTTGGGAGTTCGCAGAGCAGGAAGGAAGAAGGAAAAGGAACTGTTTCTTTCTGAGTTATTTCTTCTTGGTATTGACTTACCAGAATATAATTTCTGAAAATGAATGCCAACAGTAATTTTTATGGAAAGTCTAAGCTATTGCCATTGAATCGGGGGCCACTGGTTATCACAAATACAGGGACTCTTAGCCGTGGGTTTCCACCAGAGATCATCAACGTGTCTTCACTATACATATGCATGAGCTCTACCTAGCGATCAACAGACTGGAAGACAGAACCTGGCATCTGTAATTTTTTAAAGCTCCGCCATAGATTATGATGCCCACTCTGAGAACCTCTTACTATAGAAAGTGCTAGGAGCTGTCATAAATATCAAGTTAAAAGCAGAGAGGCCAATCCAAGCACAGGCCAATCCAAATTCTTAAAGGGAACTGGCTTTCCAAATTTCCTTGAAATGTAACTCATGACACTTTTACCAAATAGCATGTAAGAGATGTCATAGACATTAAAAGGAAACAAACAAACAAAAAAAGGATGTAGCTTTTTTTTTTAATAAAATGAATGGCATTTTGAGTTCCTCTTTAGTTCTTTTTAAGAAATAGCTTATTATACAAGATGAGCCCCTAGTGCGAGCTGAATTTCCATAATGTGTTGTTTTGCAATGTGCTCAGGGGTGACTATGAGGAACACTGTGTCCGGGGACCAACCGGGGGGGGATATTTCCTTTCCTACCCTCCCTTTGCTACTTAGAAGAAGGAAGTTTCAGGAAAGTATGTTAGTTCTAGGATTTTTTTTCCTCTTCTCAAGAAGTAAGTGGGCATCTACTAGACTGGGGTAAGAGAAGGGTAGGATTTCTGATTTATATCTTCTAATGAAGTGCCAGCTGTCTGGATTAGACCCATGAGATTGGGCCAAAAGCTATACTGGAGTGAGCCGGGTACCAACAGACATAGAATGTCAGGTGCTATCAAAATTTTCAGTGAAAGCTCCCTTTGATCTTGACAGCTTTATATGATTTTAATAATTTGGCATTAAATTGTTTGTTTTTCCTAAGTGGGCAAAAGAATTGTGAATAATTTTAGTATATTAAATGAGACACTTGCAAGTCGCAGAATACTTTGGAAACAAATATTTCAGGGAGACTGATAGGAATAAGGGAATAAAAGAATTCAGCATGTGTTACTTTATAATACCAAGCCTTGTGTTCCATATTATTATGGACCAGTTTGACATTAAAGGCATAGGTCACTGATTTTCAATATTTACATTTTCATATCTTAGGTCAAAGAGAGCTGATCACCTGCATAATGTGTGGATGTTCTTTTTCTCTTCTGTTTTTTGAGACAATGTCTCATTCTGTTGTCCATGCTGGAGGGCAGTGCCACGATCACAGTGCACTGCAGCCTCGACCTCCTGAGCTCAAGTGATCCTCCTGCCTCGGCTTCCCAAAGTGCTGAGATTACAAGCATGAGCCCCTGGCTCAGCTGATGTTCTTGATCATTTGTTGTTGATATTGTGTGTATACTAATAGTAAGGTCCTATCTAGAAGAACACCGCTTTTCTCATGTTCTGCTTCCACTTGCTATTTTGGGACCTTAAGTCCTTCTGTTTCTGGATGTGTGTGCATAGGTGGGGGGACTGGAGGGTTCTCAGGGCTTCTTCCTATGAGATCACAAACATGATCTTCTTGAAATTACACATCTGCCCTGATATGGTTTGGCTGTGTCGCCACCCAAATCTCAACTTGAATTGTATCTCCCAGAATTCTCACATGTTGTGGGAGGGTCCCAGGGGGAGGTAATTGAATCATAGGTAAACCTGACAGTAAATAAATACCTGTCTTTCCCATGCTATTCTCGTGATAGTGAATAAGCCTTATGAGATCTGATGGGTTTATCAGGGGTTTCCGCTTTTGCATCTTCTTCATTCTCTCTTGCTGCCGCCATGGAAGAAATGCCTTTCACCCTCTGCCATGATTGTGAGACCTCCCCAGCCATGTGGAACTGTAAGTCCAATTAAACCTCCTTTTCTTCCCAGTCTTGGGTAGGTCTTTATCAGCAGCATGAAAACGGACTAATACATGCCCTTTCTTCCCCCTGCCTGGTGACCCCTGACGCTACTGGTGCCTGGATGGTCTCTGGCATGCTTTGAAGCACTGCTGCTGCTGTTGGTGCCAACTGTCTGCCCAAGCACTGTGGACTGTGCCATGCCAGACAGCGCTGGCACCCTCTGTGGGGCCTGATGTCGCATTACATCCTCTCTTAGTGTTGAGCTAAGTCCCCTTAGTGTTGCCGGTCCCCAGCCTGTGCTGCCAGGTGCTCCCCATGTCTTCCAGGGTATGTTAGTGGAATCAATCGTCATGGCCTTGCTTAAGGGGCTCCCTCCAGGACTGGGCCATAGGGGCATCTGAGTGGTAGACTCTGTGCAGAGCTCCACATTTTTTACCCATTGACTCTACGGGAACCAGAGTCAATGGCTGGGCCGAGCTTTCATGCTTTGGCTTCCTTGCCTTAGTGCAGGTTTTTTCCCCAGAATGCTCATTGCTCCCTCATGCTAATAGATTCCAGAAAAGAAATTCCTCCCACCTTTTATTCAGCAAATCTTTATGGTGGATCTGTTCCATATCAATACCAGGCACTCCACTGGTGCTGGGGGTACAAAGCTGAGCAGAAACAGGCGAGGCTGCCTTTTGCGGAGCTCCTGGTCTAGACGCTCCAGGGCTCTTAAACTACACTAGTAAATATGCATAAACCAGGCTGACGGAGGTTCTTAAGAATGCAATGACTCAGGTTTAATCCATTATGCATCAGTTTCTGTCATCCACTCCTGCTGGGATTGCTAGCTCATGTCTGTATCCAAGCACTTAAAACTCCTGAGTATTTGGAATAAAGGAGGAAATACGGGTAGAGGCATTTCAGACCATTTCAAAGTATAGGATTATTTCTCTTTGGCAATGAGATAACTATATGCACCTTGACATTCTACCTTACTATGTATATATTTTTAAACATATTCAATGGTATATTATTTTTATATATATTATAAAATAAATAAATGTTTCAGGAACATTGATAAGAATAACAGAACATGAAGAATTCAGCATGAATTTATTTATATATTAGATATTTTGAGTAAAATATATCTAGAAATATATATCATTATAAGTAACATAAATAATATAATTACTTTTGTATAAAATATATTGTAAATTAAATAACATTTTCTAGTCTAACCATATATCTCTTGGGGAGAAGGACCACAATATGAATGAAAAGCTGAAGATTAGGAATTTTAGATTGGAACATTTTTTCAATATTTAAAAATGGAATATTTAAAAATTGATAATATTAAGATTTTAGCAACACTTGTCGAGTGTTAGATAAGTCTGTAAAGCAGCAGTAGAGGGAAAAATGATCTCTAAACCATCCAGTGGGCTGGGCATGGTGGCTCACACCTGTAATCCCAGCACTTTGGGAGGTTGAGGTGGGAGGGTTGCTTCAGCCCAGGAGTTCAAGACCAGCCTGAGTAACATAGCAAGACCCCATCTCTACAAAAAAAAAAAAGAAAAAAAAAAAGTTAAAAAATTTTAAACCACCTAGCTTTCTAGTTGTGTCCTCTGACAAAATAATTCTCTTAACATTTTATATTGTATAAGATACAGAAATGATACATTTATTTATTGTCAGATTTACACAATGAGTGGCATGGAACTGAAATGGGATCTTAGGGTTTTTGAATTTACTGGACAACAATCTCATGCTTTCTGTAAAGAAAGTTGCCGCAACTATTTCACAGCTGGGAATGCATGCCCACAGGCTTTTCCAGAGCTGATGACGGGTTGAATATTTGTCTTGAATTCATTATTATTTGTTGAAAACTTGTACACAGTTTTGAGCACAGGCAGTAGTAGTATACTGGTCAGTGTTTAATCAGTTGCCTTTGTGGAGTGGGGTTGAGGAGTGGGGAAGTCCTGATTTGTAACATTTGCCAGTGTCTGTGGTGTAAATTCTCCCACTATGACCGATTTCAAGCTACCAAGGTGGTATCACTGAACACTGATAATGGAATTAGGAAGAGATACACACAAGAGACTCTTGTTAGCTGGTGTAAGCTGCCTTCACCTGTGTAGGTTATATCTGTAGGGTAGCATTTTTCTTTGTGATGTGAACAGGCAAATATAAGAAACTCATGATCTTGTTTAGTCTCTGTAGTGTGACAGTCTTTCTCTAACTTGTGACCTCCCCTGATATACCAGATAATGAGTTATAGTGTAACTATAGCCAAAGTTAAACAAATTATAGTCACTCTTACTATTTACTGCAACCTAATATATTCTATTCTGTCCCAATTAATTTAAAACAATTAATTATTTCACTATTGCTACTTTTTATTTATTTAACACATACATGACCATTCTATATGCCAAACACTATTTTTAAGTGCTTTACAGATGCTGACGAATTCCTTCACTGTGAGGTTGATGTCCCATTTCATCATTTATTGCTTGGCAATATTACTTGTCTTCCCTACCTCAGTGAGAGTATGTCAAAATAACAGTGTTTAGCTGGGTGTGGAGGCTCATGCTTGTAATTCCAGTGCGTTGGGAGGCTGAGGCAGAAGGATCGCTTGAGGCCAGGTGTTCAAGACCAGCCTGGGCAACATAGTGAGATCTCCATCTCTACAAAAAATTAAAAAATGAGCCAGGGCCGGGCACGGTGGCTCACGCCTGTAATCGCAGCACTCTGGGAGGCCTAGGAGGAGGATCCCGAGGTCAGGAGATTGAGACCATCCTGGCTAACATGGTGAAACCCCATCTCTACTAAAAATACAAAAAAAAATTAGCCGGGCGTGGGGGCGGGCGCCTGTAGTCCCAGCTACTCGGGAGGCTGAGGCAGAAGAAAGGCATGAACCCGGGAGGCGGAGCTTGCAGTGATTCAAGATCGCGCCATGGCACTCCAGCCTGGGCGACAGAGCGGGACTCCGTCTCAAAAAAAGAAAAGAATAAAACAAAAAAACAAAAAACGAACAAAACAAAACAAAAAAATGAGCCAGGCGTCATAGCGCATGCCTGTAGTCCCAGCTACTTGGGATTCTGAGGTGGGAGGATCGCGTTTGCCCAGGACATCAAAGCTGCAATGAGCCAGGATTGTACCACTGCACTCCACTCTGGGTAGAGAAAGACGCAGTCTCAAAAATAATAAATAAATAAATAAATGATGAAGCTGAAGTTCTGCTTTCTAAGGTTTAGTTCAGAGTGCTGTATTTGAATGGAAGCTGCTAGAAGGGTGAGAATCATACCTATTGATTGTTGCGTCTTCCACAATTCCTAGTACAGTATCTTAGACATTGTAAGTGTTTGAGACAGGGAATAAACGAATGGATGAATGAGTGAGCCTGTAGTCCCAGATAGTTGGGAGGCTGGGGCAGGAGGATCGCTTGAGCCCAGAAGCTTGAGGCTGCAGTGAGCTATGATTGTGGCAACAGAGTGAGACCATGTCTCTAAAGTAAATAAATAAATGAATAAAGAAATAAATAACAGTGTTTCTAATTTACCTTGAAGTGTATTTTAATTTATTGCCTTTTTCCCTTTGTCCTCTGAAATTATTATGACTACCACTGCTTTGTGTGCCGAATGTTTTTTCAAAAATCATTTTAAAAGGACTGGTAATTTTCTTCTGCTCCATATATTTTTCTCAGTGTTATGCCTAAATCATTCATTTTTAGATTCCTCTAACCATTTTCCCCTTGGGAGAAATAGATTTGGGGGATTACCCTAAGACTAGCCATATTTGTTTCTGAGTAATTATGTTTTGGCTGCTGTGAATTGGGTAACAATCTCTTTGCACATCAGCTGCCTCTGCTGACTTCTGTGTCTTCATTCTACTGCCTCACATTCGCCTCTAAGTTGCTACTTTTGCAACAACCTAATAAACTTAGAATAAAATCCAAAACTTTTATCCTGGACCATAAGACTCTCTATAATCTGTCTCTGCCACAGACAGTGTGGTACAACAGTTAAGGGTTTGGGACTCAAGTTCTGGTCTTTCTACTTGCTAGCTGTGTGACCTTGGAAATAGTGCATAATCTCTCTGTGCCTCAGTTTACTCATCATTAAAATGGGAAAATAGGCTGCATGCAGTGGCCCATGCCTGTAATTTGGTGCGTTGGGAGGCTGAGGCAGGAGGATCACTTGGGTCCAGGAATTTGAGACCAGCCTAGACAACATAGCAAGTCATCCGTGTCTCTATAAAAAGTAAAAAAAAAAAAAAAAATTAGTCAGGTGTGGTGGTGCAAGCCTGTAGTCCCAGCTATTTGGGAGGCTGAGGCAGGAGGATCGCTTGAGTCTGAGAGTTGGAGGCTGTAGTGCGCTATGATTGTGCCACTGTACTCCGGTCTGGGCAACAGAGCAAGACGCTGTCTCTAAAATAACGTAAAGTGACATAAAATGGGAAAACCATAGGGTTTTAATAAGTGAGTTAAAGCATATAAAGGGCTTGGAAAAGTGCCTGATACGTACAAAGTTCTTAATAGTCACCAGCTCTTTTCCTCTCCCACTTCCTCTCTGCATCCCCCACCTCTCACCAAACTCCTTTCTTTCAGTTCCTGCTAGCTGAAGGATATTTACACAGGCCATTTCTACTACCTGCAAGTTCTTTTCTCCATTCTTCACTGAATCAATTCCTACTCATTCTTACTATCTCTGCTTAACTGTCAGGTCTCAGACGAGCCTCCTTTGACTCCCCATTGAATCCCCTTTGATTATCTCTCATCACAGAATTTACTTTCCTTTAAAGCCCAGCCACCATTTATTATTCTATATTTATTGGTGTGATTGCAGGAGACTCACAGTCATGAAGCTATGAGCTACTTCTGTGCTATTTGGGATGCCATTTGCCAACGTCTGTCTAGCCCAGGCTTGGTACGGCACTCTCATATTTGCTCATTACAGGCAGTTGGGAGTCTAATGAATGCATTTTTAGCATTAGCTTTCTTCCTGGATGTTTTTAGGTGCCTTTTCTTTGTGATTCTTTTTTCTTTTCTTCCTCTTTAATTAATTAATTAATTATTTGAGATGGAGTCTTGCTCTGTCACCTAAGCTGGAGTGCAGTGGTGCAATCTCGGCTCACTGCAACCTCCATCTCCTGGGTTCAAGTAATTTTCCTGCCTCAGCCTCCTGAGTAGCAGGGATTACACACGTGCACCAATGTGCCCGGCTAATGTTGTGTATTTTTAGTAGGGATGGGTTTCACCACGTTAGCCAGGTTGATCTGGATGTCCTGGCCTCAAGCGATCCCCCTGTTTCAGCCTCCCAAAGTGCTGGGATTACAGGCGTAAGCCACCGTACCTGCCTCTGTTTTTATTTAGATAACATATTGTTTTCCTGTTCTCTTTGCAAGAGAAATGAACACTCTAGAAAATGCCTCACTACTGAATTGTTATCATGTGCCTTTGTTTTACGTTAGGTGTTAAAAACTTTTGGAGAACAAGTTAGAGGTAAAAATAAATCCATAAATAAACAACTAAGTAAAGTATGTAACAGTTGCCTACTTAGCCTCTTGTCTGCTAACAAAATGACATTTTCTTGGTCATTTAGCTTACACAGTGACGACCAAAAGTCGTTTCAGCAACTAGAATCAGATGTGGGAAACTAGATCAAAAGGCTGCTAGTTTTACTTTTTACAGGGCCATGTGAGCCTCTCAGGAGGTGAGGAGAGCTCTCTCTTTATGCTTATATCTTCTATAGATTTTGCACCAATGAATATTGTTTTACCCAAACAGAACAAATAACAACTAACAACAATGGGAAAAAGAATTCCAGCTCTAAGTGGACATTTAGAAAGTACTTATTTGGAGAGAAAACTCACCCTGGAGCTAAAGGGAATAGTATCAAATCCATGACCCTGTACTTTGCTCCGAGATGTGCTTGCTGGTCCCCTCCAATGACCAAAAGGTTTCTCAGCTTTGTTAACTCTCCCCAGCCCTCTGGGAGGCCATCAAAGCTTTCCAGCTAATAGTTCTAGTACTTCTTACTTGAAAAGAGGAAGCAGAGTCCCTGTACCCCCTAATTTAATTTGAGCTGTGGAGAGATATGAAGTTCACAGACCTAATCTCACCACATACACATGTATCTCATTAAAACCAAACTCCAGCTAAGAATTCATTGTTCATAGCAGCTGCTCTTAGCATCTGAAATGTTAAGACTCTCCCTGACTGTTTAAAAAAATGTTAATGTGTCACTTTTGGGGTTTCCACTTCCTGGCTTTGAAACAATGCTGAATTTGCAATCATCTCTCAAAAGCCCAAATTATACACTGTGTTCTGAATGTTGACAAAGCCATTGGGATTTTCATTATGACAGTTTCACCTACCAAGAGAGGGGAACAAAAGTTCTCTAGGACATGACATATTATAAGGCAATATTTTCTATATTGATTTTTAAATTCATTTTTATTTATTTTATTTTTTGAGATGGAGTCTCACTTGTCACCCAGGCTGGAGTGCAGTGGTGCGATCTTAGCTCACTGCAACCTCCTCCTACCGGGTTCAAGCAATTCTCATGCCTCAGCCACCAGAGTAGCTGGGATTCCAGGTGCCCACCACCACTCCCAGCTATTTTTTTTGTATTTTTAGTAGAAATGGGTTTCACCATTGGCCAGGCTGGTCTCGAACTTCTGAACTCAGGTGATCCATCTGCCTCAGCCTCCCAAACTGCTGGGATTACAGGCGTGAGCCATCACGCCTGGCTCTATATTAATTTTTTAAATAACATAAGAGGTGCAATGGATACAAATGAGCATCTGAGTTTAAAAAGAGATGGTTTTATGAATTTTAGAATAATAAATTGTTGTATAATTTTCTCCCTTACTTTAGTATTATTTATTAAGATGATTCCCACTCAGGCCACTGTGAATTCTAATATTGGTAAAGAAGTTTCTAAGGTCATGGGTGCTGACATTTACCTATCAATGATTCATACTGGAAGTAATGTGTCATCAAGAATTTAGATTATCTTTTTAGTTTATAAAAATGCTCAATTCACACTTAAACTTTAAAACTAATTAGTTACTTGTATAAAAGAAATTAGAAATGTATTGTGTCCTTTAAACAAACTCCTACTTACAGTAGGTAAGCATTTTATTAGTTATTCATAATAATTTATTTATTTTAAAATGTTTTCAAATTCAGTTCCACGCGCTTCAACAAATTTTTATTGACTTTGTCTCTTTGACCTTTAGAGCTATTCAGTCTAATGGCTCCTTTTAAGTTTTGTTTTATCACGTCATATGGCAGCTCAGCATGTTTGCTGAGTAAACTTTGTCAAGTCCTGATAATTTCTTAGCAACCAAAATGGTGTTTTAGTGGATAAATGTTTGAAAAAGAACTCGTTATACCTTCTGTGCATAAAAACAATGCCATCAACATTGTTTTAGGTCTTGAGATTTGAGAATTTGTACATAATCCAACCTCAACACCCATGTATTATACATGGAGAGGAACACACAGACACACACACGCACACACACACACAATGGTGTTGCATCACGTGCCCTATTCATTCAGATCACTGGTGTGTTGACCATGGCCACAGAAGAGATGCTTTAGGTTAACCAATCCTAACGATCACTTCTAGAATCTTTGCAAAAGAACAGCTTAAAAACCTTGGATTCAGCATGTCACTCTTCACTATGAATCTCTAGTGGTCAAACAGATTCCTTCTAGGCCAGGCACTGTGGCTCACACCTATAATCCCAGCACTTTGGGAGACCAAGGCATGAAGATCACATGAGGTCAGGAGTTTGAAACCAGCCTGGCCAACATGGAAACCCCGTCTCTACTAAAAGTTAGCCAGGCATGGTGGTGTGCACCTGTAATCCCAGCTACTCGGGACGCTGAGGCAGGAGAATCGCTTGAACCCAGGAGGTGGAGGTTGCAGTGAGCCGAGATCATGCTGCTACACTCCAGCTTGGATGACAGAGCAAGACTCTGTCACAAAAAAACAAACAAACAAACAAAAAACAATGGATTCCCTCTTAGCACCAAACTTCACGCCTGGAGATCTAGGGTATGGTAATCTCTGTAAGCCTCTTCTTACAAAATGACAGGGCCTTTGTCTTATAAAATGACAAAGTTGGATTGGGGGACTTTTAGATTCACTTGATTTTATGACACTCAAATGTTTTATAATTAGCTCATGATCTATTGCATCTAGACAGGTAATAGCAGCCATAAAGTTAAGAGTTTGTCAATTGGAGTCAAACAAATCTAGGTGTGAATTGCAGCTCTGCCCAATACTAACTGCATTTGAATATTGGCGTTCTTTAACCTCTCAAGCCCGTTTCCATAGTTGTAAAATGGGATAGTAATCCCTATTTTCTCAGCTCTGTTCTGAGGATTAAATGAGATAATATGTGAAAGCGTATAGCTTAGAAACCAATAATGTTTGTTATTATGGAGTGGTAAAAAATGACTTCGGATCTGAATCCAGGAAAATACCAAGACACCAAGAGCCTTCTCCACCTCTATGTTTTTTCAATGTGCTACTTCAGTGTTATCTTGAAATTCCATGGGTAAAATCGGCCTCAAATAATAGAATATGTGGGGAGGGAGAGCATCAGGATAAATAGCTAATGCATGTGAGGCTTAATATCTAGGTGATGGGTTGACAGGTGCAGCACGCCACCATGGCACACATTTGCCTATGTAACAAACCTGCATGTCCTGCACATGTATCCTGGAACTTAAAATAAAATTAAATTAAATTAAGTGAAAAACAAAAGAATATGGAGAATTCCACCTTTAAATGGAATTTTAAATTTGAATAACATTTGAGCTAAAATGGATACATTTTAAAAACTAAAATGTAAATAAATCTGTTAATTGCAGGTAGTGAAAATGGACACATCCATTCAACCTCTTTGCAACACATAAAAACTGTGACGGAGCAAGTGAGGCAAAGTCCAGAAAACGCTGCATCTCCCCAGGCAACCAACAGCACCCAGGTGTCGCAGCCATCAGGAGCCATGACACGGAGCCAGGAGTCTGTGTTCATGGGACCCCAGGAGCCCTCCTGTGACTCCGGAATCCTGAGAATGATGTCCCGGCGAGATGTCCGGGCAGAGTTATTCTTATGGAGCTTTCTCCTGTGGTCTGACACGATAGAAATGGTGCGTGTGGCTGGTCACCCCAACGTGTACAAGTCAAGCTGGCTATACCCAGTCTACATATTCAGTTTTATTTCTCTCCTTCGAATTACATTCACTCCCCAAAACCCTCTTCTCAATTCCCTGAGCGTCCTGCTGCAAGATTTACCATTCGTTTTTGTTAGACTTGGTTTAATCATTGCCCTGGGGACTATCACACCCGTACTGGGCCTGTGTAAAAATATCCTCGTGACTCTCTCTTACATTTACTTCAATTACCTAACCAGAATCAGGATTTTTTCTGCCTTTGAAATGTCTCCATTTTAAAAAGGAAATGGGATCTAGTAAGGCCTCTTTGTGATACCTGTGTGCACATTTGTAATCCTTCTTTTTTTCTTGGGGCGTAGGTGTTTGCACTATAAAGGAAATGACTAGATTGTAGAGAATAAGCCATTTTTACTAACTCTAGCATATCAGTTTTTTTTTTTACATATACAAATGGTGCTAAATTTAAGTAAAGTAATATTCTTATAAGTTGGCTCTCAGGTATTTCTAGAAAATGTTAGCAGCTAATTTTAGTTAGTTATGTATACTGAGGTCCCCAACCCCTGGACCATGGTCCCAGTACTGGTCCGTGATCTGTTAGCAAGCAGACCGCACAGCACGTGGTGAACCTCAAACTGAGCGTTCCCGCCTGCATTCCGCCTCCTGTCAGATCAGCAGCAGCATTAGATCCTCATAGGAGCCCAAACCCTATTGTGAACTGCGTATGCAAGGGATCTAGCTTTCGCTCTTTAAGAAAATCTAATACCTGATGATCTGAGGTGGGACAGTTTCATCCCAGAACCCAACCCCACCCCCAACCCTGGCTGTGGAAAAATTGTCTTCCACAAAACTAGTCCCTGGTGCCAAAAAGGTTGGGGACCACTGATGTATACCACGCTTTTTCTAAGAATACTCTTCAACGGAGCCCTTTAAAAAACTAAGAACCTTTTCCATCAAGTTAGCCCAAGAATAAGATTTTTATCTTTTATATAGATAGCATTATATGAATTGATTGATTAAATTTAGTTTTAAAAAACACACTTGAAATTATTGAATAATTTTTAGGTTATACTTTTTTTTTTTTTTTTGAGACGATGTCTCGCTCTTGTCCCCTAGGCTGGAGTGCGATGGCGCGTTCTCAGCTCACTGCAACCTGTATCTCCCGGGTTCAAGCGATTCTCCTGCCTCAGCCTCCCAAGTAGCTGGGAATACAGGCACCTGCCACCACGCTGGCTAATTTTTGTATTTTTAGTAGAGACGAGGTTTCACCATGTTGGCCAGGCTGGTCTCAAACTCCTGACCTCAGGTGATCTGCCCACCTCGGCCTTCCAAAGTGCTGGGATTACAGGTGTGAGCCACCACGCCCGGCTGGATTATACTTTTTAAAAATTTGAAAATTGTAGTTTTAGGGGTTCCTTCAAAGGTGGAATTATATTCTTTATTCCATTGTGGCAAGGGACTTTTATTCAATAAATTGATTTCAGCATAAAAAGCAATTCACTTTAACAGATATTTGGCTCAGTTTAAGGCTTAGCTGTATTGCCAGTACTGAAGTACTAATATGAGTGTTGTTTAGTATAATGAAGTCAAGGTACATCAGTAATACCAAGATAAAGTTTCATAATAAAAAGCCATAAAGTGAAGACAGAGATTTCAAAGTAAAAGAATATTTTATTTGTGGAATTTGATACTTTGATAAATAATCAAAGTACAAGCCCTGTTTAAAATTAAAAGTTCGGCTTACAAATATAATAGCCAATGTATCAGTGTCTTATGTGATACTATATCATGGATATATTGATGTTATAAAATAATTAGATACAGAGTCATGCAACTTGCTTTCACCCTGTTGGGACACTCTGAACAGTCAGCACTGTTCATTTGATAGTAATTTTCAGATGCTAGAGAGATTTGTGAGAGGCTGATAATGCAAGAGTAATGATTTATGTAGCCAGTTTCTTCAATGATCTGTGATAACAAATCATTAAGAATGAGACATATGGCTTAAGAATGAAGCTTAAGAATTTGACATATGGCCGGCTGTGGTGGCTCACACGTGTAATCCCAGCACTTTGGGAGGTTGAGGCAGGTAGATCACTGGAGTCCAGGAGTCTGAGACCAGCCTGGGCAACATGGAGAGATTCTACCTCTACAAAAAATACAAAAATTAGCTGGGCATGGTGATCTGCAACTATAGTCCCAGCTACTTAGGAGGCTGGGGCAGGAAGATTGCTTGAGCCCAGGAGGTCAAGGCTACAGTGAGCTATGATCATGCCACTGCACTCCAGACTGGGCAACAGAGTGACACCCATCTAAAAAAAATAAAAGAGAATTTGACGTTGTGTTATTCTACGCTCCACCAAATACCTCTCCCCTTGCCACCCTGTCTCCCTTTCCCTCTGTTTTAGGATTTTTCTCACACTGTAAAAGAAGATTTACTCACAGTTGTTAAAAGCTTGCCTTCCAGCTTTCTAATTTGAGGTAGGTTCTATAACCTCTGTGGGTCCCCGTTTCCACATGTAAAAGATGAACATAATACTAGTACTACATTAATAGGGTTAGGAGGGTTAAAGGGTAAAGAGTCCTTTGAGCACATTTTCTGGCAAACCATAATAACTTGATAAATGCTAAGCATTGGAACGGGTACCAAGTCTCCAAGAAACAAGTATCTCAATGCAGTTTTAGAAATTTCCTGTTTTATTCTTTTCTGTGGCCCTGCTCACCCTCTGGGAATAATCATTTCAACTTTGCATTTGTGAAAAATAATACATACAATCTTAAGGTTACTTCAGACTATACTTTTTCATCGAGGAGTATTGTATTCAAAAGTGATCGATCTGCTGAATATATAAATTAAAATGGACACAAGCCTTCATTCATCAGACATTTGAGTGTCTGTCCTCTGAGTTCCCATAGAATCTGAATTACACCACTTTATTCACACTTACATTATGTGTTTACTTTTCTGAGTGTCCTATTAATCTTTATTCCTTAAAGGAAAGCCTGAGGGCATCTTGTTTAACAATGCATCTCTCTCTTCATCAATCAACGCTGCAGGTGCTTACAAGACTTATAACTTAAAAAAATTATAATACAAGGCTCAGCGCAGTGCCTCAAGTGCCAACAGTTTCGGAGGCCTTGGCAGGCGGATCACTTGAGGCCAAGAGTTCGAGACTAGCCTGGCCAACATGGTGAAACACCGTCTGTACTAAAAATACAAAAATTAGCTGGGTGTGGTGGCACGCGCCTGTAGTCTCAGCTACTTGGGAGGCTGAGGCAGGAGAATCACTTGAACCTGGGAGGCAGAGGTTGCAATGAGCTGAGATTGCGCCATTGCACACCAGCCTGGGTGACAAGAGTCTCAAAAAAAAAATTATAATACAAGTAATTACTTTCGAATTCTGCCATGGGTATCTTTTTATTATTAAGAAAAGCCTGTCATCAAGGGATTCATTTATGATATTCCTAAATATGAAAATATTTTGTGTAAGTATATATTTATCTCCATATTAGAACTTAGCAACAGTGCTCAGATAAACTCAAAAGTATTACTTGAGTTTAGAATGCATTTTGTATCTAATATTTTAATATGAATGTGCCTGATATTTTCGGAAGTCACAACACTATACAAATAATGAAGGCATGTACAGAAGATTATGTGTAGGAGGAAAATTGAGTAGCTAATTTAATTTCATTTAATATTTTACTTAGAGTGTATACATGTTTATAGACTGCAAGTCTATGGGATTTAATAGATATTACAGCAAATTACACTGCGAAAACATTGATAGTTCTACACTGTAATTAAATGTTATATATATTATTAAAATTATTAGGTTGGTGCAAAAGTAATTGAGGTTTTTGCCATTGAAAGTGGTGGTGCATGCCTGTAATCCCAGCTACTCGGGAGGCTGAATCAGAATTGCTTGAACCCGGAGGGCAGAGGTTGCAGTGAGCTGAGATCTCGCCACTATGCTCCAGCCTGGGCAACAGATTGAGACTCTGTCTCAAAAAAAAAAAAAAGTCAAGTACAGTTAGTTAAAGGAATGTGCATTTAAAAATTAATCTATGATTAGGCTATTAATATATAGTCTAATAATTTTATTGCATTATAATTATAAAGTAGTTTTATAATTTTATAAAATTTTATTGATGCTGTAATTTTTATAAAATTTTATTTATTTTATAATTTTACAAAAAATTCTAATACCTGTAATACACTTTTTAGTGCCTTTTCTTTCTAAAAGTTAATGTTTGAAATTACAATGTGTAAATGTTATCTCGTCTTGTTTTTCTTATTAGGGCCCCATTTCACTGAATGACAATTGCAATGAGGCATAGGAAAGAAAAGGGAAATGAAATTGCTTGCTGAAGTCCTACTATGTTCTGGGCACTATGCTGTTTGCCTAATACATAATTGCCTTGTGCTGTGTACCTTGGAGCAGGGCCTTACATAGTGAATATATCAATAGTTGTTCACAAAAAGAGCAATATACCACTTAGAAGCTACAAAACTTAAAAATGGCTACTTATACTCCATAGAAGATATAGTAAATAATAGAAGAAAAAAATGAAATGGCTAAAGACATTTTGTTTTACAATGGGGCTGTTTTTACATGTTAATTAAAATTCTATGTTTAAACAAATCTCTTGTGATGGCTGTTTCATTATGAGAGGATGCATTTGTATTAGTCAGTCCTCTAGAGGGACAGAACTAATAGGATAGATGTATATATGAAAGGGAGTGTATTAAGGAGTATTGACTCACACGATCACAAGGTGAAGTCCCACAGTAGGCCATCTGCAGGCTGAGGAGCAAGGAAGCCAGTCCGAGTCTCAAAACCTCAAAAATACGGAAGCCGACAGTGCAGTCTTCAGTCTGTGGCCAAAGGCCCGAGGGCCCCTGGCAAACCACTGGTGTAGGTCCAAGAGTCCAAAAGCTGAAGAACATGGAGTCCAATGTTGGAGGGAAGGAAGCATCCAGCACAGGAGAAGGATGGAGGCCAGAAGACTCAGCAAGTCTAGTCCTTCCACGTTCCTCTGCCTGCTTTTATCCTAGCTGTGCTGGCAGCTGATGAGATGGTACCCTCCCAGATTGAGGGTGGGTCTGCCTCTCCCCATTCACTGACTCAAATGTTAATCTCCTTTGGCGACACCCTCACAGACACACCCAGGAACAATACTTTGTATTCTTCAATCCGATCAAGTGGACACTGAATATTAACCGTCACAGCTCTTATACAATGTTCAGCTTCCTGGTTGTCTGTCTCACATCCACCTTCTGTGCTCTGTAGTAATCGAATCCAAACACACAAACAGTAGAGTCAGAAGGTGAAAAAATAGAGAAACAGAGAGCCATGTACACCTGCCCACACAGAGACACTGAGAACCAGATCCAACTGCATTCGAAAGGTGTTTCCAATGTTTACAGGTGAGATTAATTAATGAATTCTAAATCATACAGCGCCCCTTCAGGTTGAACAATGCACAACCTCTACATCCCTGAGTACTAGTGATTAATAGCTTTAGTAACCTGAGATATTTGTATTAACAATTATTTACAAGAGCTTTTACATATATTACCATATCCTGAAGATTATTTTTTGGAAATTTCATTAATTTGTCATTTGACAAATTTGAGTGCCTGTTATAGACTAGGTATGGTTTTATATGAATTTGAGGATAATATTTACTAAAGTAACACTTGCTGTGAAAGTGTGCATTTATATATACACACATCTTAATTTCCCAAGATATGCCTATTTTTAATAAGATTATTTTTTATTTTAACTTGTAATTATTCTTATATTGAAATGGAAATAATGGATTTTTAAGGAATGCCTTCTTTCTCTACAAAACTTTTTTCTTTTAAATATTTAACTCAGATACCTTAGAGGTGTTCAGAATATTTGAGTGAATAAATAGAAAATTTGCGTTTCAAATTGCTAAAAATTATACATAATCTTACATAGTAAGTGTTGTTCTGAAGAACCAGCCCAACATTGTTGTGTCTTGGTTTCCATCTGTAAAGTATAGGTCACTTTCAGATTATAAACACATGTTTAATCTTATTCTTAAAATTTGTTTCTGCCGGGCGCAGTGGCTCACGCCAGCACTTTGAGAGGCCGAGGCGGGTGGATCACGAGGTCAGTAGATCGAGACCATCCTGCATGCTGTCTAACACGGTGAAATCCCATCTCTACTAAAAATACAAAAAATTAGCCAGGCGTAGTGGCGGGTGCCTGTAGTCCCAGTTACTGGGGAGGCTGAGGCTGGAGAATGACGTGAACCCAGGAGGCGGAGCTTGTAGTGAGCTGAGACTGCGCCACTGCCCTCCAGCCTGAGTGACAGAGCGACACTCCATCTCAAAAAAAAAAAATTTGTTTCAAAAATTAAATGGGTCAAATAGCCTTTTAATTAAATTACTTTGTAAAATTTAGTATATTAAAACGATGTGTGCCAAGACAAAACCAAATGAAACAAAGTATTGGTTATAGAAATACAAAATTCAAAGGTCCTTCAAATACTATGAATCTACACACTGTTGATTACAATAAGTCTAAATATGTTATCTGAAGACAGTTACAATTAAAGCCTAATTTTATGTAAGTAATTGAATGCAAAGAAATTGGATTGCTATGATATAGTAGTTTTCTATTAAACTGTAAATGCATTGTTGATGTTTTGCTATGGTTTTGGTAAGGACTGAAAAATATGAGGTATAAGAACATCTAAATTTTTAAATTTTTACTCAAAAATATCTTTTTTTTCTTTTGGCTGGTAGGAATTATGTTGATAAGAGTTGAATAAATTTGTTCATTAAAAGATAGGCTTACTGAAAACACCATTTCTGAAGGGCTTACCAGTTTTATCTGTGAGAAATGATGTAACAGGTTATGAAAAATTTTGCCCAGCTATTTTTCTTGGAACTATTTCAGAGCAAAGCAGACACTAAGTTCATCATACGTGAAACTGAGTGGGTAGGAGGTGGCTGGTGTTTGAGAAAGTCTAGGAGGAAATGACACAGTTGATTGTCTTGCCAATAAAAAAATGAGAATTTCCTTTATATTTTAGCTTGAAGAAAGGACTAGTTAAAAATAACCACCATCATCAATAGCTAACCAAAATTCAGAACCAGAACTTAGTAGAAGGGTGTAGACAGGATGGCATGAGTTGGATTTTTAAAAAAGTTTGGTAAAGGATACATAACACAATTATTATTGTAGTCATTTCAACTGTACAATTCAATGGCTCTAAACATATTCACCATGTTGTTTAACTATCACCACTCTGTATTTCCAGAACTTTTCATCATCCAACATCCAATGGGCTCTGTGCCCATTAAACAATAACTCTCCATTCTCCTCCATCCTCCACCTCCCACCCCTTAGTAAACTCTCTTCTTCCTATGTCTCTGAATTTACCTATTCTATATACCTCACATAAGTGGAATCACATAATATTTGTCCGTTTATGTTTGGCTTATTTCACTTAGCAAAATGTTGAAAGGTTGTACATATAGCAGGTATCAGGATTCCTTTTTACGGCTCTATAATATCCCACTGTATGTTCATACCACATTTGTTTATCTGCTAACAGACACCTGAGTTGCTTCTACTTTTTGGCTATCATAAGTAAAACTTCTTTGAACATTGTTGTACAAATATGTGTTTGAGTCCCTAATTTCAGTTCTTCTGGGTATATACCTAGAAGTAGAATTGCTGGATCGTATGATAATTATAGTGTAACTTTGTGAGGCATTGCCAAGCTGTTTTCCGCAGTGGCTACACCATTTTACATTCCCGCCAGCAATGCCCGAGGGTTCCAATTTCTCATATTCTCACCATCACTTGTTATTTTCTGTTTTTTTAAAGTAATAATTCTTTTGGGTGTGAAATTCTATTTCATTGTAGTTTTGATTTACATTTCCCTAATGACTAATGATGTTGAGCATCTTTACATGTGCTTAGCTTATTGGCCACTTGTATATCTTCTTTGGAGAATTATCTGTTCAGGTCCACCGACCATTTTGTATTTGGTTTTGTTGTGGTTATTGAGTTGTAGTTGTTAATATATTCTGGATATTCATCCCTTAATCAGATATGTGATTTACAGATATTTTCTATTTTGTGCTGTCTTTTCACTTTCTAGATAGTGTACTTTGGTGGACACAGTTTTTAACTGTGATAAAGGCCTTTTTATCTACTTTTTTATTGCTTGTGTTTTTGGTATCCAATCCAAGAAATCATTGTCAAATCCAATGTTGTGAAGATTTTATTTCCTGACGTTTTCTTCTAAGAGTTTTATAGTTTTTAGCTCTTATGTTTAGGCATTTGATCCACTTTGGGTTAATTTTTGTATTTAATGTAAGGTAAGAGTCCAATTTCATTCTCTTTCCTGTGGATGGCCAGTTTTCCCAGCACAAATGCTGTTCTTTCCTCATTGAATGCTTTTGGCACCTTGTTGGAAATCAACTGCCCACATAGGTTTATTTCTGGCCTCTCTATTGTATTCCATTGGCCTATATGGCTATCCTTATGCCTGTACCACACTGTTTAGATTACTGTCATTTTGTAGTATGATTTGAAATCAGGAAGTGTGAATCGTTCAACTTCATTCTTTTTCAAAATTGTTTTGGCTGTGCAGACTCCCATGAAATTCCATATGAACTTTAGGATGGGGTTTTTCATTTCTGCAAAAAAAAAAAATCATTGGGATTTTGATAGGGATTGCATGAATCTATAGATTATATTGGATAATATTGACATCTTAACAATATCAAGTCTTCCATTTCATGAACACAGGGTATCTTTTCATTTATTTAGGTCTTTTTCTTTCAGCAACCATTTGTAGTTTTCAGTGGACAAGTCTTTTGTCTACGTAGTTAAATTTATTCCTAAGTATTTTGTTCTTTTTGATTCTATTGCAAATGGAATTTTCTTAATTTTATTTTCAGATTGTTCATTACAAGTGTATCAAAATTCAACTGATTTTTGTGTTTTGATTTTGTGTCCTGCAACTTTGTTAAATTTGTTAGTGCTACAGTTTGTGTGTGTGGTGTGTATGTGTGTGTGTGTGGCGTGTGTATGTATGTGTGTGTGGTGTGTGTGTGTGGTGTGTATGTGTCTATTGTGTATGTGTATGTGGTATTTGTGTGTGGTGTGTGTGTGTGTGTGTGTGTGTAAGCTTTAGGACTTCCTACATTTAAAATCAGGCCATCTGTGTACAGAGATAATTTCACTTCTTCCTTTTTAATTTGGATGCTTTTATTTATTTTTTTCTTTCCTACATGCTCTTATTAGAACTTCCAGTACTAAGTTGAAGAGAAGTGATGAAAGCAAATAAAAGCACCAATCAGAACACACAGTCCTGACATTTGGAGGGCTAAATCCTTGTTGCCCGGCCTGGCCTCACCTAGCTGCACTGGGCGTGTGGGCTGCTTCCCCCTTCACAGCTGCCTGACACAGCCATAACCACAGGGAGAAGCTGAAATTCGCTGAAATGTACCAGCCTCTTTATCAAGCTCTCCCTTGGATGCTCCAAGTTTCTGACTAGACTAGTTCCCAAATACAGATGGTCCTTGACTTAGGATTGTTAGACATAATGATTTACCCACTTTATGATGATGTGAAATAGAAATGGTGCATTCAGTAGAAAATGTATTTCGAATACCCATACACCCATTCTGCTTCTCACTTTTAGTACCATATCCAATAAATTACGAGATACTCAACACTGTATTATAAAATAGGTTTTGTTAGATGATTTTGAAATAGAAGAGTTCCCTTATGACCCTCGCAGGGGGTGCGACAGGAATGAGGCTTGCTCCTTTGGTGCCCTGCTGCTCAAACCCCTAGGGGGGAGCATGCAGCATGCAGATGGGCAGGTGCAGAGGCTGTGGGGAGTGCTTTTGGGCTCCACCCCACGGCAGCATCTAGGACTCCTGAAGCCCAAGTGGGCGTGTGTTACAGTGTGCTCTTTCAGCTATACCATCTGCAGACAGCTTGTGTTAGTCAGCTCAATAGACCCTCTGCCTTATCACAAGGACAGGGAGGCAGTGTGACAGCCTGAGTTCTTGCCCAGTGTACTGGAAGAATCAGATCACATGTGGGCTGGAGGGTTGAGTGCAAGGTTTTATTGAGTGGTGTAGGTGGCTCTCAGCGAGATGGATGGGGAACTGGAAGTGGGGAGTGGAGTGGGAAGGTGGTCTTCCCCTGGAGCCAGGCTGCCTAACCCCCCAGACTATTCTCCAACCACTGCTGGCCAAACTCCCCTTGGTGTCCAGATGTCCTTCTTCTCTCTTTCTCTGCTGCGCCACCCCACTGCTCTCCACTGCTCTATTCCTTCACTCTTCTCAATGTTTAGCGCTTGTGTCTATGCCCATTAAGGTCTCAGGTTTTTATGGGCACAGGATGCGGGGTGTGGTGAATCATAGTGGTCTTGGAAATGTAACATTTGCGCATGAAAACAGGAGTGCCTGTTCCCACTTAGGTCCGTGGGCACAGGTCCGAGGGTGGAGCCCTCGCCAGGGATCCTGCCCTTCTCTACCTAGCACTTCTCTGCCTCCTGTCCCTATCAATTTTGCCCAGTTGGAAGCTAATGTAAGTGTTCTCAACACGTTTAAGGTAGGCTACGCTGAGCCGTGATGTTTGGTAGGTCAGGTGTATTAAGTGCATTTTTGACTTAGCATATTTCAACTCACATTGGGTTTAACAGGGCCTAATTTGATCATGAGTAGAGGAGCACCTGCAGTTACTTCAGTCAGTTCCTGTCCATTTGATGGCTGCTTAGATGGAGGGATGAATTCCTGGAGTTTCCCACACCACCATCTTCTGTGACATCCCTTCCCCAAGATTTGGATTTATTTTTTGCCCCAGTGGCCTCTTGTAGCCTGATAAATCTTTGTTTCAACGAGGTCAAGGTCATGGGGTAAATTCTTTGTGGGGTGGTTGGCTGCATTTTGTTTAAACTTCACAGATTTTAGTACTGATCCTAATTTTTAATTTTACTAATGTGATATACACACTTATGTAATTAAAAAACAAACCCTGGGCCAGGTATGGTGGCACACGTCTGTAATCCCAGCACTTTCAGAGGCCAAGGCGGGCGGATCACTTGAGGTCAGGGGTTTGAGACCAGCCTGGCCAACATGGTGAAACCCCGTCTATACTAAAAATGCAAAAAATAGCTGGGCATCATGGCACGCGCCTGTAATCCCAGCCACTTGGGAGGCTGAGGTAGGAGAATCGCTTGAACCCGGGAGGTGGAGGTTGCAGTGAGCCCAGATTGCACCACTGCACTCCAGCCTGGGCGACAGAGCAAGACTCTGTCTCAAAGAAACAAACCAACCCTGAATGTGATTATATACATAATTCAATTAAATGTATTTGCTTCTGAAATATATATAAATGTAAATTAGGCAGTCACTTTTGTATATGATTTATTTATATTTGAAAGCCACAAATGACCCATTTAAACTATTATTTTCATAAGCCAGTGAAACAATGTCTGAGAAACATTTTTGTTTTGTCTGTTCTGTTCTATAACCATCATTTTTTTTTTCAGTCATGTACAGCCTTAGTGACAAAGAAACTTTGGTCCTCTGTCCTACATTTTCACTATCTTTTTCCCTCCGGTCAGGATAATCTCAAATTTACATGTTAAAAACAATCAGTAAGAGAACTACATCACATTTCTAATAGGATGGAAACTTTTCAACTTTATCACAAAGACAACGAATGTGGAGGCTTTCCGTTTGAAGATAAAACTATTCATTTAAAAAATTTTAAAAATTACAATGTTTCCAGTAGCTTCTTTTTGAATTACTAACATATTCCACACTCTAGTAACGGTTTGGCCAGCTAATCGTTAGTTTCTGCTTTAAAATGTTCTAAATTCCTGTTCTACTTTTGAAAAATGACAACATAAATGTTTGGAGGGTTATTTTCTGCTTAATGAAAGATCTAGAAACATATTTTATTCTAAGAAAGAATTCCACTTGCCTTTAAATAAAGATATACCTTTTGACCAAACAATCAGATTTTCTTTTTCTTTTTTTTCTTTTCTTTTTTTTTTTTGAGATGGAGTTTCGCGTCTGTCGCCCAGGCTGGAGTGTAGTGGTGCGATCCTGACTCACTGTAACTTCCACTTCCCAGGTTCAAACGATTCTGTTGCCTCAGCCTCCTGAGTAGCTGGGCTTACAGGTGTGCATGATCACACCCGGCTAACTTTTGTATTTTTAGTAGAGACGGGTTTTTGCCATGTTGACCAGGCTGGTTTCAAACTCCTGACCTCGGGTGATCTGACTGCCTCGGCCTCCCAAACTGCTGGGATTGCAGGCGTGAGCCATTGTGCCTGGCCAGATTTTCTTTTTCTAGCAAGGGGACCCACTTAAACTTGAAGAGGACCGGGATGGTTGAGGCTGGGCAGCAAGGCTTTACTGCAAATCCTTTACCACTGTTTTTTCTGGCTTTCTAGAGAACGTTCTAGCAAAAGGTTTCTAGAACTTTCTCCTTCCTGGCCTGACTGACATTCCCTCTTAGGTGTAGCCTCCTTTTCACTTTTCTTCTGCCTGGAGGAAATGAAGCTCCACGGAACTTTCTGTTGAAACTTTCCAAGAAAAAAAAGAAAGGCTCTAAGCACTGAATGTGGAAACTGAAGGGGATGAGCTTCAACTCTGAAGTGTTTCCAGCGTAAAACTGTCCTTTCCAGGGCCCGTGTGGCTGTCACTTCAGAGTGGAGGTTGTCTGCTGAGGGACCCCTGACTCAGCTGCTTCCCAGGGGAAGCTCCGTCTTCCGGCACAGGTAATGGCCTGCAGCTTGATCTCCACCCAGCCCCATCTGAGCAGGCCGGGAGCTCCCAGGCTGTTTCACTTCTCTCCTTCCTGACTCCTCACCATCACCATCGCCCTCTCTCCTCCCCACCCCGCCACTCCTCTCCCACACGTGTCCCTTTCTCCCCTTCCTCTGCGTCTGCTCTTCTCAGAAGTTAGCTTACGAAGCAAAGTTGTTACTTTGAATTCCTGTTTTTCCAGCCACCCTCATGTGACAGGATGTCTCCTCAGTAGAGGCTTTCCCTAAATTCAGGAGCCCTTTAAAAGGGAGGGCTTCCTCTGTAGTTCTTTTCAGCTGGGCAGCTCTGGGAACTTGGATTAGGTGGAGAGGCAGTTGGGGGGCCTCGTTGTTTTGCGTCTTAGTTCCGCCCTCCTGTCCATCAGGAGAAGGAAAGGATAAACCCTGGGCCATGAGGCTACCCCTGCTCCTGGTTTTTGCCTCTGTCATTCCGGGTGCTGTTCTCCTACTGGGTAAGTCTGCTCTGAGGCAGGGGATCTCTGACCTGGGGGGCCGGAACCACACCTTCCTCTTCTGGGTTACTGTGAATGGGTTCCTTTCAACATCTTTGTGAGGAGGAAACGGGGTTCCCCTGCACCACGCAGTCCACGGCTAAGCCTGCTGCCTTCACCTGGCGGCCAGGCATGGGAGGCCTGGAGTTGGAGGAGGGAGGAGGATGCGTCTCAGGTCTCGGTTGCTGCCCTGCCGGGAACCCTACAGACCTTCAGTGTCCTCCTGACTTCTCTCATCGCTCGTTGTTCCTTCCCTGTTTTCTTCGTGCAGAAATTTCCTGCTCTGTGGTTTACTCTTTCTGGTTTTCAATTCACACTATTTCTGTCTCACCGCCAACAAACACCTTCTGAGTGTCTCTGGCTGGAAGGAGGGCAGCCCTGATGTCTCCCCGCGTCTTAGGTCCGAGGGTATCATCGCAGATCATCCCCCCAAAAGAGATTCTAAGCAATTTCCATACTCATTTTTTTTTCTGCCAGAATCATTCAGACACTTGATTGTTAGAAAGTTCATCCTTATCTGTATTCTAGACTATTCAAACTGCCGCATAAGCAGATCGATTCCTGTTTTTCTTCTTTTTCTGGAGATTAGAGATTACTCATTAGGAACAGCTCCAGAGTTGTTCAAATTCTCAAATACCTTTTCCAGTCTGTCTTTTCTATTTCTCTATACTCAGTTGCTTAAACTTCAGGATGGGAGTGCCTCGGGGGATTTTCATTCCTGGTTCTATTTGGAGATGATTTAGAAGAGATTTCAAATTTGATTTTTTGATTTCTGATCCCCCTTTAATTCTATGAAATCAACAAACACTTGCAGAGAATGGTTTGTGCCTACGATCTACTCTATGCACTGATGTGAAGGCGGGTGGGAAGTTTCCTAGGAAGAGAGTGTTTTAGTACCGCAAATGTTAAATCATAAGTATTGAGTGGTAGTGATTACAAAAACACAAGTGAAGGCGGTATGGTTTACATCCTGTCTCTCTCACTCACTAGCTTTGCGACCTTGGGCAGGCTACTTTATTTCTTTGTGCTTTAGTTTCCATGTCTATAAAATGGAAAGAATAATATTACCTGCCCCCATCAGTTCTTGTGATGATTCAATGAGTAACAATATGTGAAATGTTTAGAACAGAGTATGACCCATAGTAAGTGCCTTATAAGTGTTAGCTATTAAAATCAGTGGCAGAAAAGAAGTACATAAAAGGCCAAATAAAAAGGATAGATGAAATTAATTTTATTTTTATTTTTGAGACAGATTCTCATTTTGTTGCCCAGGCTGCAGTGCAGTGGCATGATCTTGGCTCACTGCAACCTCTACTTCCTGGGTTCGAGTGATTCTCCTGCCTCGGCCTCCCAAGTAGCTGGGATTACAGGCATGCACCACCATGCCCAGCTGATTTTTGTAGTTTTAGTAGAGACAACGTTTCACCATGTTGGCCAGGCTGGCCTCGAACTCCTGACCTCAAGTGATCTGCCCTCCTCAGCCTCCCAAAGTGCTGGGATTATAGGCATGAGCCACAGCGCCCAGCCCTGATATTATTAATGTATTTTATTTCACCCAGTAACTCGGAAATATTATCCCTCAACATTTAATCGATTTGGAATATTTTCCCATTCATTTCTTAAAACTAACTCTTCAAAATCTGGTGAGTATTGCATACTTATAGCATGTCTCAATTCACAGTAGTGTCATTTTAAGTGTACAATGGTTACATGAGGTGACTGGCTATCATACTGGGCAGCACAGACACAGTGCCTAATTTTCTTTAAACTGACTCAATAATGCTTTGAGCAATAGTGTTTCTCGGTTTGCTCAGGAGTGTTTCCCTCTTCCTGACAGCAGGATGCCCTCCTCTGACTAATGTCTTCCTCTTCATAGGCACAAATATTGGGGAGAGAAGGGGGATGCTGAAGATCTGTTTACTTGGAGAATAAACAAACAAAAAATTCAAGGGACCCCCCTTCCAGATTTTTTTTTCCTACGTGAAAGCCTGTAATTTGTGTTGTTTTGTTTTTTGAGACTGGTTTCACTCTGTCACCCAGGCTGGAGTGCAGTGGTGTGATCATGGCTCACTGCAGCCTTGACATCTGGGCTCATGCAATCCTCCCACCTTGGCCCACTCCCAACTCCCCAGTAGCTGGGACTTTGGGCTTGAGCCACTATGCCAGGCTAATTTTTAATTTTTTTTATTTTTTTTTATTTTTGTAGAGATGGGGTCTCACTATCTTGCTCAGGCCGATCTCAAACTTCTGGGCTCTGGTGATCCTCCCACTTTGGCCTCCCATAGTGCAGGATGATAGATGTGAGCCACTGCACCCAGCCTGTAACTTTTATTTTATCTTTTCTTGGCCCGAGAAGCATGTGATTGGAGGAATTTGTGTAAAGGCAGGGCACCTGCTTAGTTAGCAGCAGGTTAAACTATGCGAAGCCCCAACACCTCTCCCCTGGCTTCCTGCCCACTAGGAAAACCCATGGGAAGGTCTCCCTACTTGCCATCAGTTTATTTCTTTTCAATCCACACCCCTTCCTTCCACCTTCAGGAGAGCATCCCACAGCATTAGCACCATAAGTCTCTGTGGGCTGCTGCCAACGGATGGGCTGGTTCTCCCTGGAGGGGTCCAGGAGTCTAGAGGTTAACAGGGCTAGACGCTCACCTTTCCTACTGTTGTTCTTGCCGCACTATCTTTTTAGCACTCAGCAGCAAGGTTTCCAGCTCAGTTGGGTTATAATCATGGTAGATGCACCATGAGAGCCGGTGGGACACAGAGGTTAGACCACAGCAAAGAAGTTTAACTTGGAAATGGGAGGGTTTGGCTCACAGGTAGTGGTGTATTGGCAAACAACTACTGGTTCCAAGAAGGAAAAGAAAGGAAGCACTGATTTGACTTATGCTGTTTTGCTGTTTACTGATGTCCATGCTGTAAATATTCCCACCATGGTTGATTTCAAGCTACTGACTTGATGCCCCTGGGGGCAGAGTTGGGAAGAGATGCCAACAGTAGGCTTTTTTTTTTTTTTTTTTTTTTGAGATGGAGTCTCTCTCTGTCACCCAGCCTTGAGTGCAATGGTGTGATCTTGGCTCACTGCAACCTCTGCCTCGTGGGTTCAAGCAATTCTCCTGCCTCAGCCTCCCGAGTAGCTGGGATTACAGGCACCCGCCACCACACCCGGCTAATTTTTTCTATTTTTAGTAGAGATGGGGTTTCACCATGTTGGCCAGGCTGGTCTTGAACTCCTGACCTCGTGATCTGCCCACCTTAGCCTCCCAAAGTGCTGACATTACAGGCATGAGCCACCACACCTGGCCAACAATAGGCTCTTGCTAGCTGCTGCTATTGGTCCCAGGGCAATATGGAGCCTTTCTAGGCTCTGGGAAGGCGCTCAAACAGTGGGTCAGGTAGTATCATGAAAAGCCTAGAACATCTGCAAAAAATGATAATGAGAGACGTCTTGGTGGACAGAGAAGCCTTAGAATCATAGACCATTAAAGCAAGAACAAACTAGGAAATGATGCATTTTGACATCATCATTTTATAGATGAAGCACCAGGCTCAGGGAGGTAAAATGTCCAGAAGGTGACTGTTTAGCAGGTAGATGTAGATCCAGGACTTTGCTCAACGGCTTGTACTTTTCCACATCCCCTTAGATTTCTTGCTGCGCTGTTAGATCAAGTAAGTGCAAATTAGGTTATTCCTGTTGCCATTTGCGGGTCTCACATTTGGCTGGAAGGGATCCAACTGTGGTTCTGACATAGACATCACGCTAATGGTATAATCCTGATACTCCTCTATTTCATTTCCCTCGTTGAAATGCTAAGAAAGATAATTATTATCATGTGATTATCACAGTAGTGGTTTTTCACAAGCACTCTTGAAAACTTTGATTCCAATATAAATGTATGTCTTATGGTAAATATTGATTCTTCAGTGTATTTTTTCACAAAACTGAATTAAGTGGGAGAAAAATACAAGCACCTTTCTCCTTTTTAAATTTGTTCTCCATCTTTCTCAGTGTTTGTATCTAGAAGGCTGAGCTAACTTTTATGCTTTGGAACATAGGGCTAGATTTTATATATATAAATATATACATATATATATATACACACACACACACACACATTATATATATATATATATATTTTTTTTTTTTTTTGAGACAGGGTCTCACTCTGTCATCCAGGCTGGAGTGCAGTGGCATGATCATTGCTCACTGTAGCCTTGACTTCCCGGGGTCAAGTGATTCTCCCACCTCAGCCTCCTAAGTAGCTGGCACCACAGGTGCATGCCACCATGCCTGGCTAACTTTTGTGTTTTTTTGTAGAGATGGGGTTTTGCCATGTTGTCCAGGCTGGTCTCAAACTCCTAGGCTCAAGTGATTTGCTCACCTCGGCCTCCCAAAGTGCTGGGATTACAGGCATGAGCCACCATGCTCAACCTTAGGTTTTGACAGTTGTGCAGCTTTTGGTTTAATCTACAAATATTGCACATGAATAACTGTAGTAGAAACTTAGACCTCAGGGACCCATAGCTTCCCATAAAGCAGATGGGAAGATGTCATTGTGCACCTTTCCCTATGTGAGAAAGTTGAAGCTCTGAAGATTCAGTGGCTTGCAGAAGTCAGGTAGTCAGTAAAGACCAGAGCTAACTCTTCATTATGATCTTTAGACTCTGAGGCTAAGAAGTAGATAAATTTACTACCTGGAGTGTGTTGATCAGGAAAGATATAATGTGGTTCAAAATAACACTATGTTAGAAGAAGGACTTAGATCCCTTTATCTGTATCAATTTTTTTAGACTTTTCACTTCAAGAGGGGGAAAGGAAGGAATTAATATTTATCAAGTGTGTATTAGATGCAGATAATATGCTGGGTGCTTTACATAAATGATCTCATTTAGAAATTCACGGTAGCTTTACCAGACAGCATTATTGTCCCCATTTTACAGATGAGGAAGTAGAGGCTAGAATGGCTAATAGCACTAAGGCATCACAGCTAAAAAATGGTGGAACCAGGATTTGATTGCAAGCCTATCAACCCCAAAGAAGATAACCCTCCACACCACATCCCCTGAGGCTAGAAACCCTGCAGTTCCGTGTTCTCGGTCCTTCCGTCCCTCTTTTTTTTTTTTTTTTTTTTTTTTTTGAGACAGAGTCTCGCTCTGTCGCCCAGGCTGGAGTGCAGTGGCGCCATCTCGGCTCACCGCAACCTCTGCTTCCTGGGTTCAAGTGATTCTCCAGGGATTATAGGCGTGCACCACCCTGCCAGGCTAATTTTTGTATTTTTAGTAGAGACGGGATTTGGTCATGCTCACCAGGCTGATCTCGAACTCCTGACCTCAGGTGATCCCTCCTGCCTTGCCCTCCCAAAGTGCCGGGATTACAGGCGGGAGCCACCGTGCCTGGCCGGTCCCTCTTTCTGCACTGCTGCAACAGTTCTCTGCTCTTTCATTTCATCTTATTCTGAAACATCTCACACTGTCTGTACGACTGATTTTGCCAAGTTAACAATAATAATAATGAATATATATTAAGCAATTCCTGTGTCAGGAACTCTTCTAAGCACTTTATTTAGATGATCTCATTTCATTCTCACGACAATGAGGAGGTCCTGCTATTTCCCCCTTTATTTTACAGATGGGGAAGTGGAAGCACAGAGTAATGTTGAACTTGGCCAAGGTCACACAGTCAGCGAGCAGCGGAGTCTGTTACCTGGGAGCCAAATCCTAGAGCTCTGATTATGTCATGATCAGATTGACATGATACATACATAAGGTGAACGAATTAGTGGGGCTATGCATGGAAGAAGAAAGAGCAGTGTGGTGTCAGCTTCTTACCTAGTAAAGGGTTTTGTTTATTTATCTTAAGGGGGATCTGGGGAGGCTGGCATTCAGAGGCTGAAGAAATAGGAGTGAGAGCAGAAACTAGCTGTGGAGAAGTAGGAGGGTTCACAGTCCAGGACACAGGTAGGGCGGTCAGCAGGAGGAAGGAAGCCTCTTCTACTGACTTGGGAGCGAATGGCCCCGGGAAGGTGTAGATATTCATATCTTTAAGGTGGTAGGAGGGAAGTTGGAAGAGTTTCTTGGCCTCTGTTTTGTCCTTGTGGTCAGACCCATACTGGGTTCATATTATGTACTTTTCCAAATGGCCAGTTGCAATGACCTAAATCAGTAGTTTCCCTGAATATTTTGGGTCTGAATGAAGGATCAAAGTGACAAATGAAGTAATTCTCTGTTTTTTTTTCTTTTGTTCAACATTTCATTTCTTTTTCTTTTCTTTTTTTTTTTGAGATGGTGTCTCACTCTGTCGCCCAGGCTACAGTGCAGTGGCACGATCTTGGCTCACTGCAACCTCCGCCTTGTGGGTTCAAGAGATTCTCCTGCCTCAGCCCCCCATAGCTGGGATTACGGGCATGTGCGACCACATAGGCTAATTTTTGTATTTTTAGTAGAGACGCGGTTCCACCATGTTGGCCAGGCTGATCTCGAACTCCTGACCTCAGGTGATCCGCCTGCCTTGGCCTCCTGTTCAACATTTCTAAGCCTAAGACTGACTAACACCCTCCATCAGCCCCCAGCACCTGGCATAGCTTCTTGAATGTACTAGGTGCAGGGTAAATATTTGTTTTTCACTGAATTTGGGGTCTTTGGGGAAAACATAGGTACATTTATTTAACTGAGGCTGGTGAACATATTTCTTAGTTTGGATTCCCCAAGAAGCTGTCCTCAGACAATTGCACTCTGGTTTGAGGGCAAGTTAGTTTATTTGGGAAGTGAGCCCAGGAAACACTGACAGGGTAACGGGGAAGTGAGACAGAAAGGGAAGGTGTGTGGACACCCAGTGACCGCTGTGGGCAATGGAGTGTAGGAGCTCTGGGCGACGGTGTGGAATGGTTGCCTTGGACTCATCACATCCAAGGTACAAGAGATTTAGAGCCGTCAGCGGTTCTCCTTGGCCTCTGATGAAGGCTTCCTCCTACAGGGCATTCGTTTTCTGACCCATCTAATTTGTGCCATGTTTGAGCCTAGAGGGCTCTGATAGCCAGAAAAAGCCCCCAGGGCAAAAGGCGTGGTGCTGGCGTTTGGGAGTGGGGCCTGCATGCACCTAAACAGCGAAGGCCGAGGAGAAATAGTATAAATCTGGAGGCATCTGCTACAGCTACTTGCTGCTTTTCCTCTTATCTGGCTTCTCTGTCTTCCAGAAGTTATTGTCTTTTGTGTTCCAATGTCAGCATTTTATTTGCTGATAGTCAGGAAAATCTAAAAATGTATAAGAAAATGTAGCATATCATACTTATCTCCCTGAACAATCACCTTTAATAACCAAATTTTCTTTGCTAGTAGGCTTGGGAATTTAATGACTTGTTCAATGTTGCGGCATAATTTTAAAAATGCTTAAAAAAAATCCAGGCCAGGCGCGGTGGCTCATGCCTGTAATCCCAGCACTTTGGGAGGCCGGGGCAGGTGGATCACTTGAGATCAGGAGTTCGAGACCAGCCTGGCCAACATGGTGAAACCTCATCTCTACTAAAAATACAAAAATTAGCTGGGTGTGTGGTGGCACATGCCTATAGTCCCAGCTCCTGAGGAGGCTGAGGCACGAGAATCGCTTGAACCTGGGAGGCGGAGGTTGCAACGTGTTGAGATCACACCACTGCACTCCAGCCTGGGCGACAGAGTGACTCTGTCTCAAAAAAAAAAAAAAAAAAAAGAAAGAAAATCCACACCTATGTTACTGGATGTTTAGTCTTTAATCATTTTTAACCTGAGATATTGGGTTGAAACTTATTGCATGTTACTGGATGTTTAGTCTTTAATCATTTTTAACCTGAGATATTGGGTTGAAACTTATTGCTTCTTTACTAAATGTATTTTGATCCTTGATCTTTTTGCCTTTGAGTTAACCACAGCAGAGAGTGTGCTCAACATGGCAGGAAACTTATGTCTTTTGTTTGTCTTTGTATTGTCATTAGCATAGCATCTGGCGTGTGGTCATTGTTTGTCAAGTATTTGTTGAAAAATTAATGTGAAATTAGTAAGATCAAGTTAGGATGGAAGGAGAATCACTGCAATTCTGGATATAAATTTCTGATGTGTAAGTATTAAAAAAAGAAACTCACATATTAGATCCTACAAAAGAGATTGCAGAGAAATTAAAACAGATCGACTGTGTCGATCTGTTCATCTTTGCCGTATTTCTGTTACAAAAACATAATTGGTATGGACAAAAATAGAATGTTTATAAATGTTGGTGTGGTTAATATTGGTAAAAATGCCACAAGCTGCCTTTTGGCCAACGTCTTGAATACGCCTTCAGAGGAAGAAGTATGACATTTTAAGTCAGACATGTTGCAGAGATGATGATAAAGGCAAAATGACATGCTGATTACTTGGGGAGAAGAATAATGCACGATGAATGTATCACCATAGAGCAATAATTTTACATTTCCTTGTATTGTCTGGCAAAGGCAATATCAAACTTACACTGCTTCCTAATGGCAAAAGATAAATAAAGGAAACAAGAATAGATAAGTGTGTATTGAAACAGAACCTTTTCATTTCCAAGTACCCTTTTTGTAAGTATACACATTTCTAAATTGCTCTTCAGTAAAAATAAGCTTTCAGGGGAAAAATGAATATTCAGCATACCTGTAATCATTAATCTATCATTAGATAAATAATTTATCTGGGTTACTAGTTAAGATGCTTCCGCTTAATAAACATTCTTTCATTCATTCAACTAATTATTTGTTGAGAGATTATTTATGCTCCCCAAAAAGAGACTGCAGCACTAAATCAGAAAGATCAAGTACCTCGTCTCATGAAATTTACATTCCAGTAGGGGACTATGGACAGAACATTAGTAAACAAATTGAAGAAAAATATATTTTAAGATGGTTATGGATATTATATGGTAAATAAAAGAATAAAATGAGTTAGGATGATCAGCCTGCTACGATGTTGACACTTGGCTGGGCGCAGTGGCTCACACCTGTAATCCCAACACGTTGGGAGGCCGAGGTGTGCGGATCACTTGAGGTCAGGAGTTCGAGACCAGCTTGGCCAACATGGTGAAACCCCACCTCTACTAAAAATACAAAAATTAGGTGGGTGTGGTGACATGCACCTGTAATCCCAGAGCTGAGGCAGGAGAATGGTTTGAAATCAGGAGGCTGAGGTTGCAGTGAGCCAAGATGGCGCCACTGTACTCCAGCCTGGGTGAAATAGCAAGGGTCTGTCTCAAGGAAAGAAAGAAAAGGAAAGTTGACACTTGAGCTGTGACCTTAGTGAGCATCCCAAGAAGAGGGAACTCAAAACATGAAGTCACTAATGTGGAAGTGAGCCTGGAGAGTTTGAGGAGCTGAAAGGTGGTGTGGTTGGTGGTGAGGGCAGACAGGTCACTGTTCCCTTTCTAATAAACAATGATATAGGGGCTGGATGTATTTTTCCTGGGTACAGTGGTTCCCTTTTGCAGGGTTTAAGTTGTTGAGAACTTGTAGTTAGAAACCCAGTCTCCTTCCCACCCAGAAAACCTCTCCATAAAGGTAGATGAGAAAGAAAAGAATTTTACTATTGAGTGAACATTCAACCAGAATGTGGTGTACATCGCAGGCAATCTGCAAAAGAGATGGGAAAAACAGAAAGAGATCTCACTCTTGTAGGTGGCTCAGTGAAGACCACCTATTATATTAGGTAGGTTTTGCAATTTGGCATCAGGTGACAAGTCAGGCCCGGCTCCTCCCAGAAAACTGGGAGATCAGGTGTTATCTTTTTTGATGATTCCATTTTCAAGAGAGGAAGATTAGAGCCAAACCATGGTGGCTTGGCCTGGGATGGTGTAAATGGAGTTGGAGCAAAGAGAATGAATTAGGGTATATGTATGAATTCAGAGTTGTATGTGTGTGTGTGTGTGTGTGTGTGTGTGTGTGTGTGTACACAGAAAGGGAAGAGAAGAGGGTGGAGAGAGGGAGAGAGAGAGAGTTATTTAAGGAATTGGCTCACACAATTGTGGAAGCTGGCAAGTCCAAAACCTGCAGGGGTAGAGGAGTATGCAGGAAACTCAGGAGAGAGTTGATATTGCAGTTTGAGACTGAAGCAGTCTAGAGCTGGGTGAGGTGGCCCATGCCTGTAATCTCAGCACTTTGGGAGGCCGAGGCAGGAGGATCACTTGAGCCTAGGAGTTCAAGACCAACCTAGGCAACAAAGTGACACCCCTGTCTCCAGTAAAAATAAAAAATATTAACTGGGTATGGTGGCACAGGTCTATAGTCCCAGCTACTCGGGAGGCTGAAGTGGCAGGATCGCTTGAGCCTAGGAATTCAAGGCTGCAGTGAGCTGTGATTGCACTACTGCACTCCAGCTTGGGCGACAGAGCAAGATCCTGTCTCAAAAACAAACGAACAAACAAAAACAGAAATAAAGCAGTCCAGAGGCAGAATTCATTCTTTGGGGAATTCCCCCTTTTTGTTCTTCTTCAGCTTGTTTCTCTTAAGATCTTCGCCTGACTGGATGAGGCCCACCCACGCTGAGGAGGGTGAGCTGCTTTACTCAAAGTTGGCTGATTGAAATGATCATCTCATCTTTAAAAGAATTCCTTTGTAACAACATCCAGTCTGGTGCTTGATCAAATATCTGGGTGCCAAGACCCAGCCACGTTGACACATAAAATTAACCACTGCAGTGTATTTTTGGGTAGACATGGTAGATTTCACTATTGCCTTAGGATGCAAAAACAAGCTGAAAATCCAGGAAGACTCCTAGGTTTTTAGCTTATAGATCTCGGGGGATGGTGGTGCCAAGAATTAGAAAGAGAAGTTTGGATGTTACTCATTAAATGCTGTCTTAGAGTGAAATTAAGATGAACTGCAGATAAAAATTAGGCATATAAAAGTCAAGTATAAAAACATCTGAAGGAGGAACACTGTTCATGCATAAAGATTTTTGAACGCCTTCTCTTAAAAGACTGGTTGCCAATCAGTTAATTGACTGAATTTGACCAGTTAATAAGACTGTTGTTTGACAATACAGTGAAAATGGCCAAAGTATAAGGTGGAAGATATATTTACTATTATTAACAATGAGGTATTACTAAGCAAAGCTATCTGAAAAGTGGAAGATAAGTCCAGCTTTAAAAAAAACAACAGTAGGTAGAATAACACAAACAAATTACATTAAATTTAGAGGCTAGTATAGTGGAGTTTACATATATCTATGGCAAAAGTTTCAGAGTTCATTACATTTTGAGATTAGAGAAGATAATTTACCTTTGCATAAAGTAAATGATCATAGTCACTGTTTTTTAAAAAACCGTTTTTATTTTCCTATTTCCTGTGTTCCATTGTGAGCAAAGCCCTATATTATCAAAATTCTCATTTTATTGCCAAGGTAGAAAATTACTCATTTTGTCCCACTAGGGCACGAGCAGTTACAAAATGAGATCAAGTGTGGAAGGAAGCTCAGCTAGACAGGAGGAGATTGGGATAGGTATTGCATGTTCTGTGAACAGTTGTCAAGTGCAGAGAAGCCAGCAGAGGCAGGTGTCTGGATCCAGGCTTTACTGAGTTCCAATTCCAAGAAATCAAAGCAGCATGAATGAGTAACCCAGCAGAGGAGCCCAGGCAGAGGTTTGAAGTTGCAGAGAACTAGGAACCCAGGTGGCATAGAGGCAGCGAGAGTAAGTCTTACTCACTCTAAGTAAGACAGCATTTAATGCGTAACATCCAAACTTCTCTTTCTCATTCTTGGCACCATCATCCCCCAAGATCCATGAGCTAAAAACCTAGGAATCTTCCTGGATTTTCAGCTTGTTTTTGCATTCTAAGGCAATAGTGAAATCTACCACCTTTACCCAAAAATATACTGCAGTGGTTAATTTTATGTGTCAACATGGCTGGGTCTTGGTACCCAGATATTTGATCAAGCACCAGACTGGATGTTGCTATAAAGGTTTTGTTTTTTGTTTGTTTTTTTTTAAAGATGAGATGATCATTTCAAGGTAGGATAGAGGCAGGAGATCTGGAACTAGTGTGGACAAGAGCATACAGAGGAGCGTGTCAGGAGAAAATAATCTTTTGAGGCAAAAATTTATTATAAGCTTTAAGCTTATGGGTCTAGAACTGATCTCAGAGTGTAAGTGGTGCTAACCTCCCTGGGGTGTTCAGAACAGGATATAGAATACAGCTTGCAAAAATGCTTTGGAAACACTGAAGGACGCTACTAGTGGTATGATTCTAACTTTGTTTGATTTCGCTGGAATTATTTAATTAAAAATAATGAGCTCATTTAGTCAGAACCTCAAACATCTGCACTACTACCAGCTCATTTTGAAAGAACAAGGTGAATGCATGGAATTTAGGAAAATTTCACAAGATGTGTTTAATTTATGTTTATGTCACAAAATCAAAGCACTCAGTTACTTTCATTTGTTTATTCCTTAACAATAAAGAAAAAAGAGAAAGCTTTACATGAACTCAATTTTGATTTAATTAAAGGAAAAAAAAATGCTTACCAGATCCTTTTTTCCTCTTTTGCAAGAGGAAGTTCCGTTTTGCCAGCTAGCAGCTATGTGCTGTTAAGTATAAGCCATCCTTACATATTTACTTGAATCACCAGTTCCAAATTACAAATATAAAAAATGTTATTTTTAAAGTTATTCTCATAAAATATTCTCTCCAATGATATAAAACTTACATTGATTTTTCCTTTATTGCAAACTTCACTATTAAATTATTAACAAATAATACCAAAATGTGTTGAGATGTGTCACACTACAAAATCCTATTCTAGTCTGGGCGAGGTGGCTCCCACTTGTAATCCTAGTACTTTGAGAGGCTGAAGTGGGAAGATTGCTTGAAGCCAGGAGTTCAAGACCAGCTTGGGCAACACAGTGACTCTATCTCTACAAAAAATAAAAAATGAGTTGGTTATGGTGGTACAAGCCTGTAGTCCCAGCTACTTGGGAGGCTGAGGCAGGAAGATCACTTGAGCCCAGAAGTTGGAAGCTACAGTGAGCCATGATTGCACCACTGCACTCCAGCCTGAGCAACAGAGTGAGACCTTGTCCTTTAAAAACAACAAACAAACACACACCTTTTCTAGGACATACATGCATTTAATTTTACAGTTTATTGTATTCGTATTACCCAAATTTTCTTTTCCCAGTTGATATTATTCCTTTCTGTTTTCTGCCTTGTATGTTCCACTCCTGGACAATCCTTGGGCATGTAAGGTGGGACTTTGCATGAGACTCCTCACAGTGAACTAGGACATTTTGAGAACATCCAGCTGAGGGCTGGTACCTTGGCAGGCCCTCAGTCCAGGTTCTCCTTCCAGCTTCAGGGATCCTCGAAGAGAGCTGGCCCAGGCACAGTCATCAGTACCTCTTTTCCTGCAATCTTAAGTCTTTAGGGAAATGGAAGAGTTGGAAACTTTTGACCTAAAAGATCGTCCTTGTTACATGAATCCACTTAGCCATGCTTGCTTTCTTCTTCTTTTCCTGCTTCTTTCTTTTTAAACAGACACCAGGCAATTTTTAATCTATAATGAAGATCACAAGCGCTGCGTGGATGCAGTGAGTCCCAGTGCCGTCCAAACCGCAGCTTGCAACCAGGATGCCGAATCACAGAAATTCCGATGGGTGTCCGAATCTCAGATTATGAGTGTTGCATTTAAATTATGCCTGGGAGTGCCATCAAAAACGGACTGGGTTGCTATCACTCTCTATGCCTGTGACTCAAAAAGTGAATTTCAGAAATGGGAGTGCAAAAATGACACACTTTTGGGGATCAAAGGAGAAGATTTATTTTTTAACTACGGCAACAGACAAGAAAAGAATATTATGCTCTACAAGGGATCGGGTTTATGGAGCAGGTGGAAGATCTATGGAACCACAGACAATCTGTGCTCCAGAGGTTATGAAGGTAAGATGCCTGGAATTTTCACCTTCGTGTTGAAATTTTCTCGTCTTCTTAGTTGGAACCTGATTCAAGAAAATCATCATGTTCTTGTTTGGCGTGTACTAGAAATATCAATTGATCAGCATCTTTGTGTTTTCAACTATTCTGTAGGACTATTCTGAGGACATGATGGTGAATAAATGTGATTAAAAAGTCCTGAATGATACTTCAGCTATTTTTACTTAATGGGAAGACATTCTTTTAACTTTCTCTGAGGTTTTATTTTTTTAACTATGGGCTACATTTTTCAGAAAATCGTTTTCATTGTAGTCTTTGACCCAAAGCCTCCTAGTTAACATTATAAAGTTGTAGTGATAAATACATTTAGCCAAATATGTCTTTTCCTTTAAGTTATCCCTGGAAAAATGATCCATAGAACATTCTTTCCCAATTTAGATTGCCTAAGATGAAATCTCGGCAGATCCCTTGGCGACATGGGATTCTAAATGTTACTGATTTATTTTGTCAGGTTATGGGTATTTAGAGACTGTAATAATCAGAAGATTATAAAATCTCTAGGATTAGCTTGTAAATTAATATGCAGTCTATTTAGTTAGCCATCAGAGAAGGTGATACCTCCAATGCGGTGGGAGGAATCCTCTTATATGTAGTTGGTTTCTTGACCTCTTGAAGGTTAAATAAAATCAGAGTATTTAGTTCTTTCTTATATTGACCAAATTTCACTATCTGGTGGCTGCACAGAAAACAAAACAAAAATACAACACAACTTGAAGGCTTGTTACAAAGGCTGGTCTCTTGAGTCAGATGATGTTATAATCACATTTTAGGTTTGGATACTTCGTTATTGTGAAGTGTTATCTAGAACAACCTCAAGGTCAGAGAAAGAGCCTACTTTTGGGGACAAGAGATAACCTGTTTCCAAAATTGCTATGTTACGGGGCTACTAAGATTGGTTGAACCTAGCTTATCTCAGCTAAGACTGAGCATAGCAATTTAGTTCTTTATAAGGCAATAATTTGTGAGCTTTCCATTTTCCATCTAGGCACAGAAGAAGGGAGAGTAGGAATTGAAGTACGGTGAGAGAAGGGCTCAGAAATAAGTTATTTTGAAGCATTTTTCAAACATAATATAGGTTTAGAAGTGATATGAGGGGCAAGCTAAGTGAACACAAAAAAAACCTTTCAGGAGAAACTCAACAGAAAATTACAAGGAAGGAGAAGGGTGAATTAAACTTGACGGAGTCAAATTCCACAGGTGGGACAATTGTGCTAATTGAGGAGTTTAACTTGAGGAAGATTGGCGCTAAGAAATCGGATTTTTATTTTATTTTAAAATATAATATTATGCTTCCCTCACCCCCTACCCTTTCTGTTTCCCCATTGGTTTTGAGACAAATATACATAGGGTTTGGGCTAATAGTTCTCAAACTTTAATATGCTTAAGAATCACTTGGAAAGTTTGTTAAAAATATAGATCCTAAGCTCCCCCTTCTACTAGATTCTTAATATACATATTGGGAAAAACCCCAGGAATCTATTCAATGATTTCTATGAAGACCCGGGTGATTCTGTGGCATAGGGTCTATTGACTACATTTTGCATACTCCCCAAAGATCTCCCAGCACTTAAGATGATCCTGCTCCTCAGTTCTAGCTCTGCAGAGTGACCACGAGATTGGGAACACACATTAGAACTGAAGACAGTGTCGAGAGGATGTATTGTAGGGTCTCTGTATCTCTGATGAGAACATGGGGGAGGGGTAGAATGGTGGAACTTTTTGAAAATAGGAATTATTTTAGAAGAATGGAACCAGAATTGTAGACTTAGATGGATTTGATGGTTATTTGGAAGTTCAGACTCCAAGAAGAAGACAAATTGACTGCAGTTACATGATGTGTCAGTGGGGTAGTTGGGGTTCTTTTGGCCTCATCAGTGTTGGGTGTATAGAATGGCTCAGTAGTTATTAAACAGAGTTAGTTAATAAAGCTGGCAGGCGTGGTGGCTCACGCCTGTAATCCCAGCACCTTGGGAGGCTAAGGCAAGAGGATCACTTGATTTCGGGAGTTCAAGACCAGTTTGGGCAACCTAGTGAGACCTAAACAAAATGTAAAAATAAGCTTGGTACTGTGGTGTTCACCTGTAGTCCGAGGTATTCAGGAGGCTGAGGTGGGAGCATTACTTGAGCCCAGGTAATTGAGGCTGCAGTGAGCCATCATTGCGCCACCTACTGCAGCCTGTGTGACAGAGTGAGATCCTGTCTCAAAAATAAAATAAGTAAATAAAGCTATATGTCATTGGCATCTGTAAATCCAGCGCTGAACATTTCTTGGCTAATGATGACCAGTACAACTAACCCCAAGGTGGTCTTGACTGGTTTCCTTTGTACGAAGAAACAGTCATCCCAGTGACTAAGAATGGCGCAATTATTTCTGAATACAGCGTGTTCCTAATACAATATATGATTTGGAGACCATTCCCATAACTTAGTGGAACTAAAGCTGGAATCGCATTTTAAAGTTATTAACAACTACCTTTTTGACAAAAAAGGAATTTTGAGGTCATTAAAAATAAACCTAATATTTAAAGAGGACTTGATAATTACAATGAGTAAAGGAAAAAGAAAAGAGGTCAATAACTCACATTATTGTGCTCTTACTATGCGCTACATGTTTTACAAGCTTTATATTATCAAAATGACTAAATGTCTTTTAAGAAATTTTTCTTCCTTTTTTTTTAAGATTTATTTTTTGACGCAGAGTCTCACTCTGTCACCCAGGCTGGAGTACAGTGGCGTGATCTCGGCTCACAGCAACCTCCGCCTCCCGGGTTCAAGCGATTCTCCTGCCTCAGCCTCCTGAGTAGTTGGGATTACAGGTGCCTGCCACCATGCCCAGCTAGTTTTTCTATTTTTAGTGGAGACAGGGTTTCACCATTTTGGCCAGGCTGATCTCAATTCCTGACCTCTAGTGATCCGCCTGCCTTGGCCTCTCAAAGCGCTGGGATTGCAAGCGTGAGACAAGCTAAGAACTTTTTCAAGTCGTAGAATCTGCAAAATGTAATGAATTCCTACCTAGGATAAATTCTGAATGTCAGTTGGTGGCAAGAGGTCAAATACTTTAATGTAAAAAGTTGTTATCTCTACAAAGATGGAGACTTTAAACATACTGGACAATGTAGCTATGTGCATTGTTTGGTTCTTAGTGGAGAGATGAGCTTCCTTAACCTTTTTGGCTTAAGCCAAACCATAATCAACAATGATTCTGTGTTTGTTTCAATTAACATTTCTAGTTGAACCCAGAGCTTCCCACTCAATCTGTTGGCCTTAACTTGTTGAAAAGAAAAACCTTGATTGTAGATGGTATATAACAGTTTTGAGTGGTTTCTTTTCATGATAGGGATTAGAGAACAATGCCAAAATGTCTATCCTTCCTTATGGTCATTGTTGAGGAACTCAGGTGAAGGCTGGCTTGACAAGAAGTGGTTGGAGGGGATTTAATTATTGACTATGTGTTTGGGCTATACAGCTTTAAGGTTTTTTTTAATCTAGAGATTCCAAAGCTCCATGATTCCAATCAAGAGAAAGAACTGTTTCAGAGGAAATTCAGAAGTTAAAGCTGGTGTCAATAGAGGAAGGAGGAAAAGACAGTGGAAAATGAAGTGGTACTATGAGTTATTATTACCACTTTAACTAGTATCACTTCATTTTCCACTGTCATTGGTACCACTTTGAATTGTACCATTTGAACATTTTCAAATGGTACAACTTAACAAATTAGTCTCGTTTGAAAATGTCCCAAAACGCAGTGGAAATGAAGTGGTACTAAGAGTTATTTGCTAAGTACAGACAGCTCTATGTACCCAGCAAAAGACTAGGGTAGAAGGAGAAGGAAAAAAAATACCCAAAAAAAAAAAAAAAAAAAAAAAAAAAAAAAAAAAAAAGAAATCCCTCTGTGGGTGCATCAAGTGTAATCAGAACAGTAAGACCAATTCCTTCAGTAGGCTTCTTATTGGAAAGTTAATGTTCAGAAATATCACTCACATTCCAAGTTCAAGTCAATATGTTTTTCCAGCCATGTATACGCTACTAGGCAATGCCAATGGAGCAACCTGTGCATTCCCGTTCAAGTTTGAAAACAAGTGGTACGCAGATTGCACGAGTGCTGGGCGGTCGGATGGATGGCTCTGGTGCGGAACCACTACTGACTATGACACAGACAAGCTATTTGGATATTGTCCATTGAAATGTAAGTACTGTTTATCACCAAGAAAAGTTGGGCACATTTAGTCTGATAATGTAGTGAAAGACCTTGAATTTATCTAGAGCATTTTTCCCCAAAGTTATTTCACATTTACGACCTCATTGTACCTACTACAGCCCTTTACAGACGTTATTATTTCCATTTTCCAATGGAGAAAATGATCTATATTGGCTGAAGACTAGAACACAGATGTTGGACTTTATACTGTAGGCTTTGTATGTGTATTTTGATTTTGCCAGTAAGACTAGAGTCACCCCTACTGTCTCAGCATTCCCTGAGATCATGCTAAGAGGACTAGACTGTACCCCCATGGTCCCAACATTCCCTCCATCAAGTGACCTCTTTATTTATTTATTTATTTTTTGAGACGGAGTCTCGCTGTGTCTCCCAGGCTGGAGTGTGGTGGTGCGATCTCCACTCACTGCAAGCTCCGCCTCCCGAGTTCACGCCCTTCTCCTGCCTCAGCCTCCCGAGTAGCTGGGACTACAGGCGCCCGCCACCACGCCTGGCTAATTTTTTGTATTTTTAGTAGAGACGGGGTTTCACTGTGTTAGCCAGGATGGTCTCGATCTGCTAACCTCGTGATCCGCCCACCTCGCCTCCCAAAGTGTTGGGTTTACAGGCATGAGCCGGCGCGCCCGACTATGACCTCTTTATTTTTACCAACTATCAGTTACTCAGCGAAAATTATCCTGTACACAATATAGTATATACTTAACACGGGAGGTAGGTAGGCATGCTATTATTCCCTCATCTCTGAAATGCCTTACCTTTATGAAACCATAGATCAAAAACAGAATTCAAAGGAAGCCACAAGCATGTGGTTTGATGGAGAAAGACGTGAAGGTCCTGAATTTTGTGTCAATGTCATCAAAAGTGTTCTTCACAGTGAAAATGATAGTCAGGATACTCTTCTTATGTTTAAATTAAGAAGGGTGCCATTTAGTTTCACACAGCTAGAAATCAATGGAACTCGGTAATTTATATGCTTCAAGGTTTCTTAAAAATGAAAATTCAGGTTTTATTGCAAGGATGCAAAATAAGCAGTATCGCATTATCTTAGTGGGAAAGCACCAGAACAGATGAATTCTTGGTGTTCTTCCACGCTTAAAAATCTGTAGGCAAATAGTGAAGCACATTTTAGGTGGAGTGGAGGAGGGCGTCATGTTGAAGGCAGAGCTGGGGCTGAGGAAAAAGGAAAAGGAAGTATTCCTCTTAGCTTCACGTTCCCCATCACCAGACACCCTCCTCCTGATGCTGGCTCCACCCTTCCCAAACTTCTTACCCCCGACCTCTCACCTGCTACTTTAGACCAGATCAGAGTAGCTCTTGTTTCCTGGTTATCACCCAGAACTCTTTCTCCTGCTGCCCTGCAAAGGGACTGGGCAGAGCAAAGAGCATTCGATATGGTCTGGGATGATTGTGACACCACCTGAGTAACAATAGAATCACGACTATCACAACTCAACTTTCCAGACCACAAATCCACAAGTAATCACACTATTTCAAGCATTATTGTAAAACAGAACAACTTAAAAAATACCTGAATTTGACGAACAAAAGCCAGAATTCTAAGAATTGTACTTATTTATCTCTCTGGATTTATAATCCCTAATTATCACACTAAAAGTAAATTTAATTTCTGAGCCCCATATACTATTGTAATTGTCTTCAGAGTGCAGTCTCTCCAATCCGAATGAATACTCACAAAAGCCCATAGGCTTTCTGTTCATAGCGACACTGCTGCCTCGGTCTTAACTGAGGTAGTTCTATTTGTCTCTCTTATGTCAATCTTTAGAAAGACATTTGATTTCCATTCAAGGTTTTTAGATGTCGAATTTTGTATTCGAAGTATTTTTGTCTGAAACACATTGAGCAATTTTTTTCTAAGATAAAGCAATACTTGGTTTTCAAGTGATTGAAAGTGTCTTTCTCCTTTACTTAATAGGAATGATATTTTCTTAATCTGTTTCATGGACTTTCTTAAGGGTATATATTTCATGGGTCCAACTATAGCATCCTCCACATCCTTTGAAATTGACAAAGGAGTTAGATGAATGTGTGATTTCCTGAATGAAATGTGGAGGACAAGTGGTAAGTTACTAATCACAAAGAAAACTCACAATCTTGGAAATCCTTGGATGTGTGTTGGAGACGTATCTTGAGTTTGTTCAGTGGAATAATTTTTTAGTCTTATTACTTGTATTTATGCCTTCACTGTCAAATTATATATTTTTTCCTGTTAAATGTAAAATAATCGTAGAAAATAAATTGATTTGGTTTCAATATGCATTAAAATTTTAAATCACGTTTTGTACATTTAATATCTTTCTTAAAGGGCTTTATAGTCTTCCAGTCTGTTTCATTTTGTGTTCTTTTCAAAAGAGTTTTTATTGTATTTATTTATTTATTTATTTTTGAGACAGGGTCTCACTCTGTCATCCAGACTGGAGTGCATTAGCATGATCTTGGCTCACCACAACCTCTGCCTCCCAGGCTCAAGTGATTCTCCTGCCTCAGCCTCCTGAGTAGCTGGGATTACAGGCACCCACCATCACGCCTGGCTAGTTTTTGTATTTTGAGTAGAGAAGGGGTTTCACCATGTTGCCCAGGCTGGTCTCGAACTCCTGACCTCAAATGATCCACCCACCTCGGCCTCCCAAAGTGTTGGGATTACAGGTGTGAGCCACCGTGCCCGGACGAGCATTTTATTTTATATCAGCCTTAAAAGTGGCAGGTTTTATACAGGAGGATGAGGAACCAGTTATTAACCTAGTAACACTTAGTAGATGCTCTCCATTGTCCGTTGCATTGTTTATTGTAATGCTTTCCTTCCATGTAGACATTTATTTTCAAGTATCGTGAGAACAGGTAAAGGAAAATTCTTGGTTCTCTCAGTTCTCTGTAGCAAGTTTAGCTTCCAGCATCAGTTGTGTTGGTTTACTGTGGGAATTTGAACTCCTTGGGGAGATGGTATGCAATCAGCAAACCTAAACATTAATTGAGAAATATGTTTAAATCCCTTGGTTTAAAATGTACTTTCTTTAAGTGAAAGGTCAATTGCATTTCCTTCTTACGTCATTTATGTCACTTGCCTCCATTCCTAGGTTTAAAAACAACAACAAAACCCTTTTTTATGTCTCACATTTTCTACTATATATATATATATATTTTTGGAGACAGAGTCTTGCTCTGTCACTGAGGCTGGAGTGCAGTGGCATGATCTCGGCTCACTGCAACCTCTGCCTCCCGGGTTCAAGTGATTCTCCTGCCTCAGCCTCCTGAGTAGCTGGGATTACAGGCGCGTGCCACCATACCTGGGTAATTTTTTTTTTTTTTGTATTTTTAGTAGAGACGGAGTTTCACCATGTTGGTCAGGCTGATCGCGAACTCCTAACCTTGTGATCCGCCCACCTCAGACTCCAAAGTGCTGGGATTGCAGTCGTGAGCCATGGCGCCCGCATTTTCTACCATATTATAAACAAAACCTTCCTCCAGTTGTCTAAAACGAGTTGTTTAAAACATCTCTATCTTCAAATATACCCCAAATTAGTCTTATTTGAATGGTCTCACCGACATACACATGAAACTTGCAACACCTCAGATCATTATAATTTAAATTTAGCATTACTGATTCAAATTTATTTTTATATAAGCATATAATGATTTTGTAGTTAAAGCACCTTAAAAATTTGTATGCTGTTGCCTGAATCAAATTTTGATATGTTTTCTTCCTCTTTGATATGTCATGGGACCACAAGTTTCATATCATGGTGTGTGGTTTGCATATTACAAAAAGGTCTATGATCGCTTCCTCATCAGATATAAAGGGCAATTAGATACAGTTAAGAGTTACAAGAGTGTAGGCTATGTGCTTATGGAAAATTGCCTAATTTCTTAGTAAATTGAGTATTTCTCAGAACATTTTCAGAGAAGTTATATAATACTTCCTTTTTTCCTTACAAATAAATGAAAAGATCATTACTTCACATGGCTTGTAAGCAGAATTTTATATTATTAAAAAGAAAAAAGAAATATTCACTACATGAAGCATGCCAAAATATTTCATTTGTTTACTAGCTTCGCAAACATCATATATGTGAAAAACTATCAATAATATTTATTTGTATATCATTGGCCGCTTACAGAGTACAACCAGGTTTATGGAATTTATTAGGAATCATAAAATAGCAAAGGAAGAAATCAGCTTGTGATTTTTTACTCTGTGGAATGAAAAAGTTACAAGCAACATTTGCTATTGCTAAGCGCTCCACCTGTATTAAATATATTCTAGCAATGAGAAAACGAGACTTCAAAAGTTAATAATTTATCTGAAGTCAAGTCTCCAGTGAGCGATAGGACCTCAGGTGCAGGCCCAGGCCAGTCTGTCTGCAGGAGTCCGTGACCTTCCCTGCTGACAATCTTATGCTTCCAGAAAGACCAAACTAGAATGTGCAGGCAAAGGCAAAATATCCACCTGCTGAGAAGATGTACGTTTATTTTCTTTGCTTCCCCTGCCTTACTTTACTAGATCAAGGAATTTGGGCTGGTATCCGTTCTTTTAAAACATGTTTTATTCACTTTGGGAAGCCGAGGCGGGTGGATCACAAGGTCAGGAGATCGAGACCATCCTGGCTAACACCTTGAAACCCCGTCTCTACTAAAAATACAAAAATTAGCCGGGCGTGGCGGCGTGTGCCTGTCGTCCCAGCTGCTGGGGAGGCTGAGGCAGGAGAATGGCGTGAACCCGGGAGGCGGAGCTTGCAGTGAGCCGAGATTGCACCACTGCACTCCAGCCTGGGCGACAGAGCGAGACTCTGTCTCAAACAAAACAAAACAAACAAAAAAAGTTTTATTTTTATTTATTTAGTTTTTGAGACGGAGTCTCGCTCTGTCGCCCAGGCTGGAGTGCAGTGACGCGATCTCGGCTCACTGCAAGCTCCGCCTCCCGGGTTCACGCCATTCTCCTGCCTCAGCCTCCCGAGTAGCTGGGACTACAGGCGCCCGCCACCACGCCCGGCTAATTTTTTTTGTATTTTTAATAGAGATGGGGTTTCACTGTGTTAGCCAAGATGATCTCCATCTCCTGACCTTGTGATCCGCCAGCCTCGGCCTCCCAAAGTGCTAGGATTACAGGCGTGAGCCGCTGTGCCCGGCTATTTTTATTTTTATATATGTAGGGGGTATATGTGCAGATGTCTTGCATGCATATATTGCATCATGGCAAAGTCTGGGTACCCGAACTGTGAACATTGTACCCAATGGATAATTTTTGAATCCTCACCCTCCCACCCTCCCACCTTTTGTAGTATCCAAGGTCTATTGTCTTTATATTTGTCTCACTTCCCAACTCAATTGATCCCGAAAGGGAAATCGTGCCTGCCTTTCTTTCTTTAGGCATGTGGAAAAGACTGGATGTAGCTGATCCTTTGAAACCTCATCCCCTACTTCCTATTTCATTTCAGGAGTAAAGAAAATCTCAAAGTCATCTTAAAAACAAGTAAAACAGTCCGGGCATAGTAGCTCACCTTTGTAATCCCAGCACTTTGGGAAGCTGAGGCAGGAGAATGGCTTGAGAACAGGAGTTTTAGACTAGCCTGGGCCACATAGAGAGACTACATTTCTGCAAAAAGTTAAAAAGTTAGCCAGGCATGGTGGTGCATGCCTGGAGTCCCAGCTACTCGGTAAACTGAGGTGGGAAGATTGTTTAACCTCAAGAGTTGGAGAGTACAGTGAGCCAGAATCACAGCACTGCACTCCAGCCTGGGCAACAGAGCAAGACTCTGTCTCAAAAAAAAAAAAAAAAAGTAGAAAGGGGGAAAAAAAGAAAGGAAAGAAAGAAAGTGCTTCAGGCAAAAATGCTCCTAGGTGGTTTAAATAATACTATTCACTGGAAGTGTTTTCTATGCATAATGAACCAAATTCCATCTGATTTCTTTCACAGTTGAGGGCAGTGAAAGCTTATGGAATAAAGACCCGCTGACCAGCGTTTCCTACCAGATAAACTCCAAATCCGCTTTAACGTGGCACCAGGCGAGGAAAAGCTGCCAACAACAGAACGCTGAGCTCCTGAGCATCACAGAGATTCATGAGCAAACATACCTGACAGGTAAGGACATGAAAAGTCTCAAGTAAAATCATGACTGCTTTATTTTTATATAATTTAACTTAGAAGTCAACAGCACAAGTGTTTATAGATGTTATGACAGAAGCAATTCTTAAGCAGTTTATGTGGATGTCATGACAAATCTGTACTCTGAAAATGACACCAGGGATGGCAAATAGCTCTCATTTCCTGTGCCAACTATTGGTTTTAAGAGTCTCTAGAGCCAGTGCTAAGAAGGATTCTGAGGGCTAATCTAGAATCAGAGTAAAAGATGCCACAATCGATTAATGATGTCGTTCTTGGACGCAAGGCAGTGGAACAATCCTGGTCAAGTATCCATCATCCAGGTCTAACCTGAAGCCACAGGTCTTTCATTAGCCTCATAGAGGTCAAAATGATAAATTAAAAGACTGCTACCACTGGCAGAGACAAGTCAGAGGCTGTTTTGAAACCCTGAAACCCTGAGTTCTTTTAGCCTCCTGTCCCTCGAACCCCCAGGCTCTACCAGTTTTCAGGTTTTATTGATACTCTTTCCACAATGTGTTTGGTTTTGATGTTGTTTTGTTTTGTGTTGTGTTGTTTTGTTTTGTTTTGAGACGGAGTTTCCCTCTTGTAGCCCAGACTGGAGTGCAATGACGCAATCTCAGCTCACTGTAACCTCCACCTCCCGGGTTCACATGATTCTCCTGCCTCAGCCTCCCACGTAGCTGGGATTACAGGTGCTTGCCACCATGCCCAGCTAATTTTTTGTATTTTTAGTAGAGACGGGGTTTCACTAGGTTGGACAGGCTGGTCATGAACTCCTGGCCTCAGGTGATCCACCTGCCTTGGCCTCCCAAAGTGCTGGGATTACAGGCGTGAGCCACCGTGCCTGGCCAATGTGTTTGTTTTTAAAATATCTGTTTTTATTAGATTGTGAAGACTAAAAGGGCTAAAGTTTGCTTGAGAAGAGAGTATCCGTTTTAGCTTCTAAAATATACACTTGGGGAAACAGAGAGATTAGGATCAGAAATTAGTGTGGGAGCAAAAGCATCCCCGATTTCTTGCCCCCAAAATCTCCTCCCTCCAGTTTTTCTGGACACGGCTATATTAATATTAGTCTGTCTCTGCTCCTATGACTGCCATGTTCAAAAAACCCCTTGTGGCTTCTCATTTCCCATCAAATAATTAACAAAATACATTTTGCCTGACATTCAAGATTGCCACCTGCTGAACATCTGTACTATTCCCGGTCTTGCATTTTGCGGTCACAACAAAAGAAAAGTCAGTCTTGGATTCCTTGTTTTTCCTCATCCATTCTCACCCTCACATCTTTTCCCATGTCATTTCTTTTGCCTGGAATTCTCACGATTGTGTACAGTTGAAATGCAATTCTATTTCCATCTGCATTTCTCTTATTTGCTTATTACCACTTTTATTAGTATAATAGCTACTTACACATATGTCCTGCTTCCTTGACAACACTATAAATACATTAATTTGTTATTATTTATTTACTTATTCATTCATTCCCAAGATATCTTGTACCCATGTGCCAGGCTTTGTGCTAGGTCCTGGGGACATCAAAGCTGACCCTGTCTTGTCCACATGCAGCTTAAAAGTCCAATGGGAAGAAACAGATGTAAACAAGAAAACAAACAAATGAATAGGTACCAATTATAATAAGTCCTGCATGGAAAGCAAACTGAAGGCCATGTGGAGATCGCGTCAGAGGGGGAAATAGCTGAAAACGGGGAATGTCTTGTGAATATTTATGACCCCTCTTCCCCCAAGGAGGTTCACACAGAGCCTTCCAAGGAAGGGTCTCACCAAACATTTGCTGACTGACATGTTAACATGCAACAAAATAAAAATACTTAGAAATTCAGTCTCCTGTTTGGAAAACTAGACAGTCATGGCAAGAAGACAGTAAATGCAGTGGTTCTTCTGTGTGAAGTGGCTTATTCATCACCTTGGAATTCTGTTAAAGTGATGATGCCTGGGCTGAGATCCCGAAGACTCTAGATCAGTAGGTGTGACACAGGGCACAAGAATCTGCCTTTTGTCAAACTCCTGGGTGATTCTGGGGCAGCTGGTTGAAAGACCATATCTGGCAAAACACTGTGTTAGTTCCTGCTGTATCCAGGTGCTAACACCAGGCAGCAGAGCAGAGAGGCTGAGAGCAAAGATTCTGCAGCCAGACTGCCTAGGTCCCAGCTCTGTGAAACTGGGGGAGCTTGTGGGGATTTGCTGAGGCACCTGTGCTTTGGTGACCTTGTCTGTTAAAAGAGCTAATGTGTGTGAGCCAATACAAGGGCAAGAGCACACTCCCTACCTTGCCTCATTTCTTAGCACCTACCTTTTTCCAGCTATTTTCAGATGACACCCGTCACCAACCAGAACACATCTCTCCTATAAGTTATTATTAAGGAGACCGAGGATAGAAAAGCAATATGATGTCACTGTGGATTCATAGTCTTAGAGATAGGGTTCTTCCTCTGTCTGCTCAATTATTCTGTTTTGCATTAGCCTTTGGGACCCTTCTAATAGTGGAACAGAAAGGATCAGAGTGATTCATATTTACAACCATGCACAAAAATAAGGAGGAAGAGGAGAAAGTACAGAATAGACAAAAGTAAATTTATGTAGATGATTAAGGAATAGAAAAGATGATTCGAGGCAGTCTTGTGGTTATTTGGGCAGACTTGCAGGCACGAGAGAAAATGTATCAGAGGTGGTCTGGGCACAGTGGCTCACCCTTGTATTCCCATCACTTTGGGAGGCCGAGGTGGGTGGATCACCTGAGGTCAGGAGTTTGAGACCTGCTTGGCCAACATGGTGAAATCCCATCTCTACTAAAAATACAAAAAATTAGCTGGGCACGGTGGCAGGCTCCTGTATTCCCAGCTACTCGGGAGGCTGAGGTAGGAGAATGGCTTGAACCTGGGAGGTGGAGGTTGCAGTGAGTCGAGATCGCACCATTGCACTCCAGCCTGGGCAACAAGAGTGAAACTCGTCTCAAAAATAAATAAATAAATAAAAATTTAAAAAAAAAGGAAAGAAAATATATCAGAGGTGCAGAGGTGAAATGGTTTCAGTTGATGTGTTTTTGGTTTTTGTGTTTGAATTTATTTGTGGGGTGTGTTATCTCTTGGAAGCCTGGGGACAGAGCACAGGTTACTTTGTGCGCTCTCCACCAGCTACAGAGAAGGAGCAAGTGATCTGAGCGGACAGCGGCTTTGCCCAAGCACAGACTCATTTCCTGGTTCCCGGACTCTGCTATCGGACTCGAGCTGCAGGAAATGCTTCCCTAATCAGCAAGGGCTTTTCTTGTGTCTATCAGGACAGCAAACAAGCCCCAGGAGATCCAGAGGCTGGGTTCACCTCAGATACTTACTTGAATCTTATCCAAGCCTCCGGAATTTCAGTCAGCAAATTTTCACTGGCATCTGGATAAGAATGGCATCTCTAACGAGATTTGTAGTACTTCCTGCCTTTCTTTAAGTAAAAAATGTCAGGCATTAGGACAAGAAAAACTCTGACAGGGAATTTAAAAAATAGGGGAAAGATATTCCCTCCCCACTGTTTATTTGAAAGAAAGGGATGATACTCAGTGTTGATTGAGATATATTGGGGAATAATCCAGAAAACAGTGGTGTGAGTGTGTAATTGCAATCCACTCTATTTTGGAAAATATGCCATTAAAATGAAAAAACAACCTACAAAATATTTACACTTTTAAAATAAGTTTTCTTTTATGTGAGGGTTTTGAAAAGTCTGTATCTTTTTATTTTATTTTATTTTATTTTATTTATTATTATTATTTTTTTTGAGACAAAGTCTCACTCTGTCGCCCGGGCTGGAGTGCAGTGGCACTAGGACTTAAGTGATTCTCGTGCCTCAGCCTCCTGAGTAGCTGGGGCTACAGGCATGTGCCACCAAGCCTGGCTAATTTTTTGTATTTTAGTAGACACAGGGTTTCACCATGTTGCCCAGGATGGTTTTGAACTCCTGAGCTCAGCTGATCTACCAGCCTCAGCCTACCAAAGTGCTGGGATTACAGGCGTGAGCCACCATGCTCGGCCAGTCAGTATCATTTTTTAAAAATGTAGAACCTGGTTTGATGACTCTAATTAAATTGTCTGCCAATTACTGAAGAGCTACTACATACTAGTTTCTGGGCTTTAGTTCTAAAGCCCACAGCAACCTCATGAATAAATATTATTAGCCCCACTGTATAGATGAGATAACAGACTAGGAGGGAGAAGTTAGGAAACTTGCTTAATGCCTCCTGTTTAGAAAACAGCTGAACTGGAATTCAGCCCTGTCTTCCATTTCACCCTGCCTGTGTCTCACGCACAGAACACCCGGGGATCCGCTGGTTCCCAAAGCACTGATGAGAACCCTTAATTTTGTCAACATTTCCTGGCTCCAGTAAATGTGTTCCAGATTGGTGGTGATCTGATTTCATATTATCTGCCAGGTGAAATGTTTCTGCCTGGCAACACGTTTGCACACTACCCACAGCTGTTTTATCGTCTTCCCTTCTGTTTCTACCCCGAAAAATGTTGGGACGCTCTATGGAGTCTCTGAGTCCTGAATCAGATTTGTGGCTCCGTATGTGCAGGATGAGGATTTACAGAACTGAAATAAGATATAGGAAGTGAAATTTGGCTTGTTTCCCCGATGGTTTTTACCAGTTTCCTTTGGTACTGCCTGAAAAACACATTGGACCTCAATTAAAAAAAAAAAAAGAAAGTAAAAAAAACAGTGTAATATTGGACATTTGTGTATCTTCTATTACATCTAAGTTCAAAAGTTGGTATATAACCATTTCAGACAATATATGCAGAAAAGTTACGCCTTGAGCATGTGAGGCTGGGCGCAGTGGCTCACGCCTGTAACCCCAGAGCCTTGGGAGGCTGAGGTGGGAGGATTGTTAGAGTTCAGGAGTTCGAGATCAGCCTGGGCACTACAGTAAGACCCCAACTGTACAAAAAAAATTTCTGGTTTGAGTTGGTGTCTGGAAACAAAACAAACAACAAAAATTTAGCATGTGGAATTGTTGCTTTGTGCAGCAATACTAAAATATTTTGGTCTGCTCTTTTATAAAATTACAAAAGCATATTAGAGAAAATTATTTGTGGACAACACCCATCTGCTTTAAGAGATATATTTTAACCCAAGATTTGAATTTTGCTTCTAAGTCACACCTTTGCCAACCTTAATATGAAGCTATTGATAATAATAATAATAATGGTAATAATAACAGTAGTAACTTATATTTATGGGGCATATACCATATGTCAGGCCTTGTTTTAAAAAGTATTAACTAATTCAGTTCTTCAAGACAAGTTTATAAGTACTTAGAGCTGGTAAAAGATGTCAAAAGGTAATTCTCTTAAAGAGCTATTATCATTTCTCATGATGCCAAACATAGTAATTTAGTTACGCAGTCTCAATATCTACTTCAGTTCTTCTTTAATCAGCGAATTATTTATAATTTTTAAAACTTAAATACACTTATTTTCGTAATTAAGTTTTTTAAAATCCCTGAGTAAATTGGTTTTGGGAATAGCTAGTATTAAAATGCTACTTTTAGGAGCATGTCCTGTAGAATACGTCTGTGCAAGTAGAAAGATAATTATATTTAAGTTAGTACAACTTTAAAGAATTTGTGAAAATTCTTTTAAAGAATTTTTTTGAAGGTTGTTGAGTACAGTGGTGTGTACCCTGTAGTCCCAGCTATTTAGGAGACTGAGGTAGGAGGAACGCTTGGACCCAGGAGTTGGAGAGCAACCTGAGCACCATAGTGAGACTCCATCTCTAAAAAATAAAAATAAATTTAAAAAATGTTTTTAAAAGCCAAAGGATAGTTTTTATTTTAATTAATTGCTTTTGATCAATTAAAATAACTCAGAACAGAGAATTCTCATTGATGGTTTCAAAAAAGATAGAGGTGGCAGGGTATGGTGGCTCACGCCTGTAATCCCAGCATATTGGGAGTCTGAGGTGGGCGGATCACCTGAGGTCAGGAGTTTGAGACCAGCCTGGCCAACATAGTGAAATGTCATCCCTCCTAAAAATACAAAAAAAAAAAATTAGCCAGGCGTGGTGGCGGTCACCTGTAATCCCAGCTACTCGAGAGGCTGAGGCAGGAGAATCGCTTGAACCCGAGAGGAGGAGGTTGCAGTGAGTGGAGATTGAGCCACTGAACTCCAGCCTGGGCGACAGTGCAAGACTCCAACTCAAAAAAAAAAAAAAAAAAGAGCGGTAATAATAGGTTAGAGTGTTTACCGCTGAAGAGCTGAGGTCCGTGTTGTTTCTGGTTTTATGACTTCCACATCAGTCCTAGAACAGAATTGGAAACATTGTATTTTTGATTTCTTCACTGCTTAAGCAAAGCATCCTTGGTGTTAGCATAAGCACTTAGTGATTAGTATTTAATCATCATGTTAACGAAGAAGAGAAATTGACTTTAAAAAATGATAAAATAAAATTCTTAGAATAAGGTTTGAAATATGCAGTGGAGGTAACACCTATTCATATTCACACAAGAAGACTTTACACTATCCTTGAGAAAGTAGATAATAGTCAAGATGATGGGGTTTGAAGCCTCATTAGATCTGGGTTGGAACTTTAAAAATCTTACCAGATTACCTATGCTGCCTCTGCCTCCGTTTCCCCACCTATCAGTGAAGGTAATAATTTTACTTGCCTTAGGTTGTCAGGAGAATCAAAGGAGACATGGTAGGCATGATTATTGTTACTTCCCTCAGTGACATTTTGATTCAAGCACTTAGTTCTGAATTTAATTTCAACTGTTTTCTGAATGCCAAGTTCTTGTTTGTTTGTTTTGCTTTCTTTAAAAATATAGGATTAACCAGTTCCTTGACCTCAGGACTCTGGATTGGACTTAACAGTCTGAGCTTCAACAGCGGTTGGCAGTGGAGTGACCGCAGTCCTTTCCGATATTTGAACTGGTTACCAGGTAGGGTTAAGCCTGTTTGTGTCGAATTAATCCAAATTTAAGTCATCTAGACGCCCCGAAGACGTTTATTATCTCACCTGTTGATCTCAAAGAGAAGAATTGGGAGACTTCATCAAATACAGTTCATTTCACCTTGTTTTGAAATCTATGCTAGATTTCCATTTACTGAATTGTAAGGTTATACCAGCTTCCTGGGATAGGGATTTGTCTGCCAGGATTCTCACACAAAACAATAAAGGTCTCTGTTTAAAGTTTCAGTTCTCAGAGTATCCCTGATGTGTTGGGTACTATATTCAAAAGCAGATGTTGTGGCTACTCTTAAACATGATTTACTAAATATGCTACTTGCATTGTTACTATATACTTGCTGTTGCATTGACTTTGTCAACATCCTTGAGAGGATTAGCCAACATCTCTTTGTAAAGTTTGACAAGTGGATTGAAATTATTTTGGGTTGGAGAGATTTTTTATGACTGTACCTTGAGTCATGAGGTATTTGCAATATTGCTGTCCTTGTGACAGTGATTTTAACATCTACATTAACACCCACTTTTCCTGTTTTTGATTTAATAACATCGGCTTAAAAATACTATCTCAGTTACAGCTTATGATATTCCATACTAGCATAAAAATTCATTAGAGGTTTCTCAACAGTAGTTTATAGAAAAACAGAGTTGGGGATGATAAAACCTACAACAGCTTTCTAATTTTTTTAGAGGATAGAAAATGCTGTGAACTAATTATTTCTACATTGTCATAACATGAAAGTAACAGAATATAAAATAAGTTTACATATTGAGCAACTATTTAGAGAAAACAAAAAAATGATATAAAGTTTTTCTTATTCACCAGTACCAACTGGCGTTAGTAGCCACTTGAGGCCTTCTATTGGGTATAAATTCAATCCCCACCCCTCAATCCCACCCCAGTGCCATTTTTTTTTTTTTTTTTTAGGAAAGAGTGCAATTAATGATTAGTGACGTCTGCCGTGGGTGTGGGAAAGGAGAGAAGTATCATATTGGTCACATCTTATCAAATCTCCTATGGGCCATACCATTATAATACGGTGTTCTTCAGACAGTCAGACTTCTCTTTTAAAGCCATTGAGTGGTTTTCGCATTTGGCTTAGAAAACTAAACTCTCCATTTTTGTTTGTTTGTTTGTTTTTGTTTTTGAGACAGGGTCTCACTCTGTTGCCCAGGCTGGAGTGCAGTGGCGCAGTCTCAGCTCACTGCAACCTCAGCCTTCCTGGCTCAAGTCATTCTTGTGCCTCAGCCTCCTAAGAGGCTGGGATTACAAGCATGCACCACCATGCCTGGCTAATTTTTTAATTTTTTGTAGTGATGGGATTTCCCCACATTGGCCAGGCCAGTCTCGAACTTCTGAACTCAAGTGATGTGGCCTGCCTCAACCTCCCAGAGTGCTGGGATTACAGGCGTGAGCCACTGCGCCTGGCGAAAATCTCCATTTTCTATATTGGTTTATTGTATTAAAAGAAGAAAAACTTCAATAAAATAATATTTCAAATAGATGCTAAAACACGAGAAAATTTTTAGAGAATATATTTTGGCTTAAATAAATTAGATTTTACTCTGAAATTCCAGTTTCAAAGCGTTACTTCAACATATGATGGTTACAGTGCTGTCACTCAAGTCTTGAGCCAATAATCAGTTCTATTTTTTTCTGGAACATGGAAGGTAAAAATTTCTGGAATATGGGAAGACTTACTGCAAGGGAATACATATAAAATATCCTTTTTTGTGCGTGAAAATTTAGGTGTCTGTCTACCTATTCAGCCAGATGCAATTAGAGAATACTAGTTGGCCTCAATCAGATTATTAGACAATAAAACTTATTAGGGGACTAGAATTTATTCTTCTTTGTGTTGCTAAATTTTTATACATATTAGGCAGTCATTTAATTTATTCACTTGGGGGTGATGATTATATTTAACCGCTTGCATCCTACGAGTTCAGGGAGAAAACTTCCGGGTTAACTTTGGGTGGAGTAAAGAATGAAAGTGGAATATGATTAAGAAAGGGAAGCAAATGCTTTCTAAAATTAAACTTCAATTCCTAAGAAGTAGGTGCAAGATTAAATCACCTTGCGAAATAGTATGAGAGTTTCTTCCAACTAAAATTAGAGATCTTGTGGAAATTAAAAATCGGTTTCATATTTGTTCAGTCAAGCATTCAATTGAATAATTACCAAGTAATGAAAATATTAAAATATATTCACTTTTGAAGTGAGGATGTTTTGCATAAATGATGTACAAGTGTGAATTCAAATATATAATAACTATGGTAAACATCAAAACCACTAGTTGATGTCTCAAAGTTGAGAGAGGTATTGTATTGATAAATAAATGTGTAATATGATTTACTAATTAGCACATCAATTAATAACTTAGAGCTAGAAATGTATTTGTTTGAAAGTTTCTTTTTAGTGCTGATACCTTATCTGTTAGTTCAGTTATCCTGTTATTTTAGTTACAGTATCAGCAAATGTTTAAGATACCTTTATGCTTATTACTAACTTTATGATAACTTTATGCTTATTACTAACTTTAAGATAACTTTGGCCAGGTGCAGTGGCTCACGCCTGTAATACCAGCACTTTGGGAGGCTGAGGCGGGTGGATCCCGAGGTCAGGAGTTCAAGACCAGCCTGGTCAAGATGGTGAAACCCCGTCTATACTAAAAATACAAAAATTAGCTGGGCATGGTGTGGGCACTTGTAGTCCCAGCTACTCAGGAGGCTGAGGCAGAGAATTGCTTGAACCCAGGAGGTGGAGGTTGCAGTGAGCTGAGATCACGCCACTGGACTCTAGCCTGAGTGACAGAGCAAAACTCCATCTCAAAAAGAAAAAAAAAAGATAACTTAATGCTTATTACTAACCATTATTTTCTTTGTGTGGTAGTTAAATAAACTTTAAAAAAATCATTTAATTACCACACAAAGAATACCACCAAAACTTTAAAAAGGTTATTTAGGTTATTACCTGCTCCAGACTTTGTGGAGCAGGTAATATGATTTCCGTCTTGCAGGAAAGGAAGTGACATTCAGGCACAGGTTACATACACATTGGAGGTCACAAAGCATAGGTATTAACAGAATGTGGCTCATTCACCCTGTCTTCAGGTGGAAGGTGAAGCTAGTTTGGGGAGTACTGGTTTTTAAATCATATATTAGAGTAGCAAAACGCATGTGAAATGTATCAATGCCTACATTCATCCCTTTAGCAACGTTGACTTTATCTGGTTCTTTAATCAGTTTCCACTAAGAAATGGATAAGGCATAGCTGCTGAAAGTCTTCTTCAGTAGGCTGAGTTGAAGATATTGAGACAGTTTTAGTTCTGGGAGCACAGCATGCTGCCCATCTAGCTCTCCCATTAGCTTTTTCTCCTCCATTTATTTTTATTTTTATTTTTGAGACAGAGTCTCACTCTGTCACCCCGGCTGGAGTGCAGTGGTGTGATCTCCACTCACTGCAACCTCTGCCTCCCAGGTTCAAGCAATTCTCCTGCCTCAGCCTCCCAAGTAGCTGGGATTACAGGTGCCCGCCAGCTCCCCGGCCGATTTTTTTGTATTTTTAGTAGAAATGGGGTTTCATTATGTTGGCCAGGCTGATCTCGAATTCCTGACCTCAGTTGATCCATCCGCCTCAGCCTCCCAAAGTGCTGGGATTACAGGCGTGAGCCACCGTGCCCTGCCCTAATAATGTTTAGTGTGGCAGGTTTGGAACATCATGTATTCTTTCTTTTTAATAAATTCTACTTGTAGATTCAGAGATACATGTACACGGTTGTTACATACCTAGGTAAATTGCATGTTGCTGAGGTTTGGGATATAAATGATCCATCCCATCAACCAGGCAGTGAGCATAGAACCCAGTAGCTAGTTTTCCAAACTTTGTTACCCTCCATTCCTCCCCCATCTCATAGTCCCCAGTTTCTGTTGTTGCCATCTTTGTGTCCATGAGTACTCGGTATTTAGCTCCCACTTAGAAGTGAGAACATGGCTATTTGGCTTTCTGTTCTGCATTAATTCGCTTAGGATAATGGCCTCTAGTTGCATCCATGTTGCTGCAAAGGACATGATGATTTCATTTTTTTTTATGGCGGCATAATCATGCATTCTTTTCATTAGGTACCTCTCTTTGATAATGTAATCCGTTGTGACAACTGTTCAAGTTTTAAGGTGTAGCTTTATTAGCTGATAATGGGGGAAAGGGTTGTTTCAAAGAAGTATATTTGCTTTATCAACATTCTAAGTATTGGAATGATCCAACGATAAGAAAACAATAGACACCCATCGTGTCTTTTGCTCTGCAGTCAGTAAATATTTTTTTGTGAATGTGTAGCAAAAGACAGAATGGTGGTCCATTGAATCCCCAGGATGAAGACATGAGGAGACGTGGGAGGGATGCTATCTGCTGGGAATAGCTATAATAGTCCACTTTAACTTTTCCTTTTCCTCGAAGGAAGTCCATCAGCTGAACCTGGAAAAAGCTGTGTGTCACTAAATCCTGGAAAAAATGCTAAATGGGAAAATCTGGAATGTGTTCAGAAACTGGGCTATATTTGCAAAAAGGGCAACACCACTTTAAATTCTTTTGTTATTCCCTCAGGTAAGTGATCTATGGGATCTGAAGTGCCTCAACTATTAGAATTGAAAGATAAGTAACATTACAGCTTAGGTGTAACTGTTGGAATGCCGCCAGAGGTTTTGTGGATAGTTGATGGGGTAAACTTAATGATATTACTGCAATATTTCTGTGTGCTGGTTGCTAGTATTTCCTGAGTGTGCGGCGGTGTCTGGGCATTGTGGAGATCCTCTGACCTAAATAAAAATGTTACCTTCCCAATCAGTCCTCTGAGGTAGGTGTCATGATTCACATGCTATAGTTGAGGAAAAAGATATTCAGAGGATACAGAAACCTTGCAGACATGGCAAAACCGGAATCCAAGCTAGAAAGTCAACATTTGGAAGGGATGTTTATATTAGGTCCTCACGGCTCTATCTGGGCTTCCTTGCTATTCAGTGTAGCGTCTTATACTAAAGTTTTCATAAAATAGAATAAAATATCTAAAAAGTTGTAACTGAATTTTATTTATTTATTGAGACAGAGTCTCATTCTGTCACCCAGGCTGGAGTACAATGGCGCGATCTCAGCTCACTGCAAACTTCGCCTCCTGGGTTCGTGATTCTCCTGCCTCAGCCTCCCGAGTAGTTGGGATTACAGATGTGTGCCATCACGCCCAGCTAATTTTTGTATTTTTAGCAGAGATGGTGTTTCGCTGTGTTGGCCAGGCTTGTCTTGAACTCCTGACCTTGGGTGATCTACCCACCTCAGCCTCCCAAAGTGCTGGGATTACAGGCATGAGCCACCGTGCCTGGCCTGTAACTGAATTTTAAATATCGGCTAGACTTCAAGAAAAAAAAAAATCAATTGTGTTGTCCCTTACAATTTTATAGGAGAATAAACTACTAAGGCAAGAATTCTTTCTTCCAATTGATGAAAGACAAACTACATATTTTTTATTATTACCTCTTTTTGGAGGGACAGCGAATGCTTTAAATGGTTTAATTTATTTCTGTTTTTCTGCTGGAGGAAACTGACAATGTGGCATTCTTGTTTTTTTCTTCCCATTGGCTTTGAAAGCAATTTCATGTATTTTAAAATACGCTTGACATAGCTAGAGATTCAAAAGATACAACATGATAAATAATAAGGTTTTCCCTACCTCTCACCTGTAACACCCAGTTTACCTTCCTGGAGAATAATTGTTTCTGGGTGTGTATCCTTAGTTATTCTGTGACTATATAAACAAATATATTTATAATTATTTTTGTTTCATACAAATGGCAGTATACTATAATATGTTTTTATCCTAAGTTTTCCACTTAACAACAATTTTGGACATCATTCCACGTAGAATATAAACAGCTTCTATGTTTAATTTTATGGCTGTCCAAAAGCTATTGCAGAGACAGCACATATATTTTTTTGACCGATCTCCTGTGTAATGGATTTTTAATTTAATTTACTTCCAATCTTTTATTAATACAAACAGTCCTGAGGTAAATAACTATATACATTCTATGCACATCATTTCATGCATGTGATCATTCCTGGAAGTGGAATTGTTGGATTAGGGAGGAGATGTGTTTGCAATTTTAATTGATATAGATTTGGCCAAGATCCTAAATAGATATAGATGCGGGACCTGGATGTTGGGTTTGATTATCCTTTACAGGCTCTCCATAGTGACGGTGGGTATCTTTAGAGAAAGCTCACCATTTTTGCATTTTACCTCTACTATTCCTCCTCTAGGAGAAATAGTGTATTTTTTCCTTTTTTGGAAGCCTTCATTACAATTCTCTTTCTAAGACTTGGAATTTCCATGTTGCCAAAGAGGAGAATAGTTACTTTATAGTTTCTCTGGTACAGCACTCAGAATTCTGTAACTTGGCCTTACTGCTTAACCTGCCGGTGCTGGGATCCTCATGTGTAAAATGGAAATGTTCATGACTCTTCTTCCTGAGATAAAATTTTGTTCATTTCATCAAACACTCAGTACATTCTTATTCCTCCATGATGCCTTCTTCACTCGCTAACCACTTGATGTCAGTTTCTGAACATCTCTATACTCCCTGGATTAATGATTCTGTTTTATCTATAAACTCAAATAAACCAGAGCTTGGAAAAGCGTATCAGAGTTCAAATTATGCAGCATACGGGATTAGCAACAGCCTTAGGCAAGAATTCAACCTCAAACCCTGTGAATTATTGTAACACTAACCCGTTTGTCCATAATCCTCAGGTCTCTAGGGCTGTACTCTCTGGCTTAGCAGCCACTTAACCGCATGTGGCCACTGAGCACATGAGCTGTGGCTAGAGGAACAAATCATCTTCTGTGGCTGCCCCAGGGAACTCCCCTTCATTTCACTCAAGTTGGTTGTTTTCATGCTTTCAAATATGTTTAAAGTTCATCATTTCAGTTTTTGAAGGACAGCATTGGCTGATACTATTTTCAATTTCCTAGGTAGCAAAATTAAAATAACCCACCAGAGGGCTCCAAAGCTGTACTAAGCTTGCTTTCTTTTTCTTTTTCTTCTTTTTTTTTTTGTAACCACTGGAAGTGCACAGAATCTAAATTGTATTGAGGGAATAGAATTTTTTTAAATATGCATTTTTTATTACAATTGTACAGCATTTGAGCCTCATGACTGAGTAGTTACTTGTATGACTGCAGGGCACAAAATCCTGGGCTTAAACAATGATGTTTCAGATACTCTCCACCTTTAAGGGAAGATACGACCAATTCATCAAAGGAATAGTGAAGAAAGGTACCCTATAACGAACATATACTAAGACAGCCATTTGAAAACATTTAATATGAGCTTAAATAATATATACGTTCACTTTCATTTGGCAATATAGTCCCCTTCTAAGCAAAACATGTTGCCAAATTACTGTTTGAAATAGTATCTCTAGAATAGTAATAACAAGCAGCCATATATCAACTATAACTTCAATTCTTTTTCTCTTCCAATACTCAATACGCTTATATGTACCAGGCCCTGTGCCAGGCTCAAGGCAATAGGGATGAATAAACATCTGCCTTCAAATGTCTTTATTGTCACTTTCCCCTAGCTCATTACTATTAAATTTTTGCAGCGTATAATCAAGATTATACAATTTGATCCTATTAGTAGCGAGGCTGAGGATGTTGACAGCTGGTTTAATTAAATAATGATTGTGTGGTGCTTGTGATTTACAAGCACACTCTCTCTATTCTTTTCTAGTTCAGAAGAACATGGGGTGGGTGGTTTGATATTAGTGTTAGTACTAATCTCATTTAAAAATTTTCACCTATATGGGTACTCCTTTTCATGTGATGTGACTTGCCGAAGATCACACAACTTACCGCAAATTCAGGTTTTAGGAGTTATGACTCCAGATCCCTCTCCTAGTCACAAGCACGTGTCAGTTTTGGGTAGCAACTAAATGGTAGTGGGTCTGTTCTGAGGCAACAAGTGGCTGACTCATGTGGCTATGGTGGCGGAGGCTCCTTGGAGACCGTTTGTCCCCCAGCCATTCCAGCTCTCTACTTCAACACTAACCTGCCTCTCAAGAGTGACTGGCTCCCTAATGTCCATAGAATAAAGTAAATTCAAATCTTTTAGGGGATGTGTTTAGTCCCCCAAAGCTTTCAGGCCTCCAGCATTTAAACAGTGCATAACAGATGCTTAGTTCAGGTTTGCTGACAAGATTTAGATAATCTAATATGTATTAGTATAGTCTTGTTGTAGATATAACTTTTTAAAAAGAGATTTCCCATAGCCAAGTACAGTGGCTTATGCCCTGTAGTAGCAGCTACTTAGGAGGCTGAGGCAGGAGGACTGCTTGAGCCCAGGAGGTTGAGGCTGCAATGAGACATGATCACACCACCGCACTCTGGCCTGGGGAATAGAGGGAGACCTTGTCTCTTAAAAAAAAAAAAAAAAGAAAGAAAGAAAGTTGATAAGGTGATTTCCCATTTGATTAAAAAGTAGGTTATTTTGTTTTGTCTAAAAACCAACAAAATAGTATATGCCTTGTCTATTTTTGGTGAATATGTATGCTGCGAAAATAAAAACTAAATGTTACCTTTATTTGCCTAGTAACTATAAGCTGTTTCATGTATTATATAAAATGATTAAAATATTGTTATAGTTTTAATCAAATCTTTTAAAATTTTTTTCCGACCCCCCTTTTTGTTTCTAGAAAGTGATGTGCCTACTCACTGTCCTAGTCAGTGGTGGCCGTATGCCGGTCACTGTTACAAGATTCACAGAGATGAGAAAAAAATCCAGAGGGATGCTCTGACCACCTGCAGGAAGGAAGGCGGTGACCTCACAAGTATCCACACCATCGAGGAATTGGACTTTATTATCTCCCAGCTAGGATATGGTGAGAAACTTGACAGTGATAATATACTTGGCTTTAATCCTGGGAGCACCCCTTTCTACCCAACTCTGGAAAATTCTATCATAAACATCAAATTTAATCAATGTAAATCAATAATTCAACGAACAACGTATGAATTTAATCACAAATGCTGAAAATGCCACAATGTGAAAATTGTATAATAATTGAAAGAATTCTTATCACTGAAAGATAATTCAATTTCTTTTTCTTTTAATGTGTAATCCATTTATGGGTAGTTTTAAAACATTATTTTTTTCATGCATTATCTGGATGCAGAGCAGTCTACCTTACACTTGTGAACAATGCTTAATTCCTTGGAATTATCTGTGTGTGTGTGTGTATCTTCTTTTTTTAGGTCCATATTTTATCTCCTAAAAAAGATTTCTAAATGGACTGTTTCAGACTTTAGATTTCTTTTTTCTTTGTGAATTTAGCTGATGCTGGGAGGGTGTTGAACAGTGAAAAATATAGGAGTTTTTTTTTTTTTGAAATGGTTAGATGTCAGCCTAAACCTTTTAAAGGAATATATTTCTTGGCCAAGCTACGGTGGCTCATGCCTGTAATCCCACCACTTTGGGAGGCCAAGGTGGGAAGGATAGCTTGAGCCCAGGAGTTTGAGGCCAGTCCAGGGAACATAGCAAGACCTCGTCTCTACTAAAAAAAATTTTTTTTAAAGAAATGTATGTCTCAATTTTAGGTGCATAATTAAAAATACACAGAAAATGTACTAAGCAGAAAAAAATAGATGAATAAAATGAGCTGGGAATGCTTGTCCCGAAGATGAGCGGCTTGAGAAACAGCATAATGATAATGGGCACTCAGCAGTGCTTGTTGATTAAATGATGATCATTTTCATCTTCCACTGATGAGGCTGCTGAATAGCTGCAGCTGCTCTTCATTTCCCCCCAGCAAAACAAGAGGAAATGGATGGTGGAGATGGTGGAGACAGCTTCCTGACACATAGTGCCTGGAAACTGATTGGGGCTGGGGGAGGGGAGGAAAAAGCAACTAACAAATAGATGAGAAACAAATAGAGTAGTAGCAGAAAAAGACTTAAAAGTCCCCGAAACACTCCTACTTCTAGCACCTGCCAAATGGTATCCATCTTCCTGTGTTGACCCCATTGAGTGTCTTAGGCCACGAGAATAGCCCAGCTGCAGCCTATGAACAATTTCTTGGTTATTCTGTGTCTACTTATCCTGGAAAATTCACAATAGAAGATAATAATGGAATCAGAACTGGTATGTCTGAATAACAATTACTTAAATTTAGTGTGGCACTTATAGCCAGTAAAGTTTGCAAATGATTTAGCAGAAAACAGGTTAGTTAGGATGCTCTAGAACTGGAGTGCACATTTAACTCTACTTTGTATAACATAATGTAGTGAAAGAAAAAAACCTGATATTTTTATTGCTATAATTATTTTAGGAAATTGGATGGCCAAAGTTGCTTTGAAATTCAGCATGAGAATTAGTAAATAAATTAGAAAACCTTCCATTAAAAATTATTGATAAGATTTTATTTTAAACAATAAAATAATATTAATAAAAGTAAAGTTGTAAAGTTAAAATTATTGTTTCTAAACAAAAACCTAGAAATTTTTTTTTACATAATTGAGATGATACCTTTTGTATTAATCATGGAAGTATATTTCAAGTGGACACATTAAGACCTATACACGTAAGTTATGATTATACCAATGAATACAACTTCCCCAACTAATTGATAAAAATCAGCATGACAACTTTACACTCACATCTTATATATTTTTCTAGGATCAAGATTGTGCTTAGGAATTGAAGAAGCTATGGGGGAGAACAATTTAGTGAGAAATATGTATATAGGAAACTCTTAACTGTGGGACTTAGGAGGTTAGTTTTTCTTTGATCTTCAATTTAAATCTTTGAGGGGTACATGAGGTCACTTTGAAGCCTGCATTTGTTGCTGAAAAGATCACGATCTGCAAATCAAGTGAAAGGAGAAGAGGATCATCCTGGCAGTGTCATTCATTCTCCACGGCACTGGAAACATCTGCCAGTGCTGGCGCCAGGCCAGCTAGAGACTTCTCCAAAAGCAAAGTTGAATGACAACTTTCAGGAGGAAGAGACTAAACCGCTTAGGGAGAATCTTATACATTGTGATGTTTTCCTCATTTTCTACCACAACATCATCTTTACAATACTTTGGCAACTAATTTTATTATACCACTAAATGATCATACATCAAGCATTCATGATGGGACTCCCAGTCGTGTGAATTAGATAGATATTGATTTGTGTATTCTTTAACTTTTTTTAATTTAGACAAGTTTATTTTTTAGCCATGACATCTTAAACCTTCATTGACTTTAACTTTATCCCATTTTTGTTGTGATATTTAGGAATTTTTAGCATGGCACCTACTTATAAAATCAATAATGTTCTCCATAGAATTTCAAAACAAAATGATCATGTTTTAAATCTATATTGGTTGTTTTCGTTTTACCCTCATTTGTTATTTAAGTTTTGCTGGAATTTCCTGGCATTTCATGATGAAAATGATTACAGATTCATTTGTATATACAGCATAATAGATAGGTACCAAATGTCAGGTGCAAGTCTCACCTCTTGGTTTATAATTCTTTCACTATATAGATAATTTTCACTCCCAGTACAGTGATTGATCTTTAACGGAAGTATCTAGAATGTTCTTGATAACAAGAGTCAGTAAAATAGAAGCAGTTTAAAATTTTTGTTATTTGAAAACATTCATCAATTTAATCATAGTCAAACAGATGTATATAAATAGGCTACCATCAATAACATGAGTGCAGTTGGCATGGTAAATTATTTGCAACAATAAAAGCAGCTTCATAAGATAGAGCATAGTAATAGACCTACCTCAATTTTGTTTTTGTAACTGCCAGGAGATACAATCTACAATATTTCCACTAAAGAATACAGTCATATTCACAATGTAAAGGGTACACTACACAGCCTAAAACTAACAAGGTAAAATGTAGTTGGCATCTAAGTCGACAGCATGTAGGTCAGATGAGCACTCATGAGGACTATCTTTCATGATGGTGATCATATCAAGGGAGGTAGAGCCCTGTTGATAAAGCAGAGTGCCTTCCGTTCCTTTTACCCCCCGACCTTTGGAAAGCAACCCTTGTATATACCACTGTGTGTTTCTTCCTGTTTAGAGCCAAATGACGAATTGTGGATCGGCTTAAATGACATTAAGATTCAAATGTACTTTGAGTGGAGTGATGGGACCCCTGTAACGTTTACCAAATGGCTTCGTGGAGAACCAAGCCATGAAAACAACAGACAGGAGGATTGTGTGGTGATGAAAGGCAAGGTAAGGCCACTTGAATGACTGATATTTATAATGAAAGTCACGGGGGATTTTTCCTTCTGTCCCAGTCAGTTACATATGTTTGTTTAGATTGTTTTTATTCTACATAAATTGGCATGGATCAAAGGTGAACCAAAATTCAGATTTGATTTCTTGAATCCCTCTCAACTGTCTAGCAAAGTCAAATTTTCAAGAGGATCACTGAAGCAATGGACAGAAACTTTTGGGTCAAGGATGAAATTCGCCTGTAATGAATACTCATATTGTTTCTATGGCACTATATATGTACATGGCCATATATATAGTGCCATATTATAATGGTGTATATATATATCCACCAAAGCTCTCATCTGACCAATTAAGCCATATATATGATTATGCATGTATATATAAAAAGTTATTATAAGCCATATATATGATTACAAGAGATGTAAAAAGAGATATATATGTATGTGTGTGTGTGTGTGTGTGTGTGTGTGTATATATATATATATGTAAAAAGAGATTGTAGCCCCGTATATATGTGAGAGATATATATACACCAAGTAGATGCAGATCTACTTACAGCTACGGTGGATTAGGTCTGGAAGCTGTACTTGGGGAGCTACATTCATTTTTTTCAGTTTACATGGAGCTGTCATATGAAATGATTGCTTTTATGATTGAAATATGACCTCAGTGATTGAAAAATGTTATCAAATTTATCTTTTATTAATAGATGGTAAACACAGTGATTAAGAGGCTGAGTTTTGCTGTGTGACTGACTCCTTTATTTGCAAAATGGGAATAAGAGCTGTACTTAGCTCACCTGTGGATATGAGGTTTTTTTTTTTGTTGTTGTTGTTGTTTGTTTGTTTGTTTTTTAAGACAGAGTCTTGCTCTGTCACCCAGGCTGCAGTGCAGTGGTGCAATCTCAGCTCATTGCAGTCTTGACCTCCTGGGTTCAGGCCTCCCAAATAGCTGTGACTAAAGGTGCGTGCCACCACGCCTGGCTAATTTTTTGTATTTTTGGTACAGATGGAGTTTTGCCATGTTGCCCAAGCTAGTCTTGAACTCCTAAGCTCAAGCGATCTGCCTGCCTCAGCCTCCCAAAGTGTTGAGGTTACAGGCGTGAGCCACTGTGCCAGGCCCAGGATATGAGTATTAAATAATGCATGTGTGGTACACAGTTCCCAGCCCATATTTATTGTTCAATAATTTTTGTCATTGTGGTTGTTTATTTTTGTCACTGTGGCTGTTATTTTTGTCATTGTGGTTGTTTTTATTGTGATGGATTGAAAGTTTAAGAACATATTAGGTGTTAACTATCCAAAGAGTAGACAGAAGAAACCAGAAAGCAGCATGCTTGGAGGAGGTGAAAGGTCAGTGTGGTTGAAATCATGAAGTCAGAGCCGGAAGGGTGGGTAGGAACTGAGGTTCAAGAAACATGAGTTGTCTCGGAGGGGTAAAACCAAAGTGGCAATTTATAAATGTTACTCTGGCTAAAGGCTTACGTGTCAGATTGCACTGGGCTGAGACCAACTAGGATATGAGGAGTTAAAGACAGACAATACAGAAAACATTTTATTTATTTATTTATTTATTGAGACAGAGTTTTGCTCTTGCTGCCCAGGCTGGAGTGCAATGGCACAATCTTGGCTCAATGCAACCTCTGCCTCGAGAGTTCAAGCGATTCTCCTGCCTCAGCCTCCCGAGTAGCTGAGATTACAAGCGTGCACCACCACATCCAGCTAACTTTTTTGTATTATTAGTAGAGACAGGGTTTCACCATGTTGGCCCGGCTAGTCTTGAACTCCTGACCTCAGGTGATCCACCCGCCTTGGCCTCCCAAAGTGCTGGGATTATAGGCGTGAGCCGCCGCGCTTGGCCCAGAAAACATTTTTTTCAAGATGTTTAGCAGCGAAGGGAAGGAAAGGAGAGGTCCTTTTAACATGAAATCTCAAAGGAAAAGAGAGGGGATAGAATCTGAAATAAAGTGGAAGGTTGAGCCTCAGATCCAGGGGAGCACTCATCAGTAGAAATAGGAAGAAGGCAGAAAAGATGACTGTGGTTTCATGATGCTTTCAAGTTGGTGTGTTGGGTGCAGGAGATTTTTCTGGATGGCGTATATGAACTTGATTAATTTGAAGACAGAGCTGACTGCAGGGATTGATGAAGACGCTGCATGCGGCCGGGCCCAGTGGCTCACGCCTGTGATCCCAGCACTTTGGGAGGCCGAGGCAGGCGGATCATGAGGTCGGGAGATCGAGACCATCCTGGCTAACACGGTGAAACCCCGTCTCTACTAAAAATATAAAAAATTAGCAGGGCGTGGTGGCAGGCGCCTGTAGTCCCAGCTACTCAGGAGGCTGAGGCAGGAAAATGGTGTGAACCTGGGAGGTGGAGCTTGCAGTGAGCCAAGATCAGAGCCACTGCACTCCAGCCTGGGCAACAGAGCGAGACTCCGTCTCAAAAAAAAAAAAAAAAAAAAAAAAAAGAGGCTGCATGCAAACCTCTTGCGAGCACCGTCATCCAAGGACTTACAGACATTTTTAATTTCTCCCTGGATTCCTCTAAACAATGGCTTGGACATCTCAGATATAAAATCATATTGCGGCTCCAATCACTTTTTACATGTTTGTAGCTAGAGTCAAAATTACTGTTTACATATGAACATGTCAATTACCTTTCCTTTCAGTAGATGCCGTTTTCTCTCAATAACCTTGGATCTTAATTTTCCTCCTCTGAGGCACAGTTACAAGAAAATAACATCAAAGTCCAAAATTGGCCGGGCGCAGTGGCTCATGCCTGTAATCCCAGCACTTTGGGAGGCCAAGGTGGGTGGATCGCCTGAGGTCAGGAGTTCAAGACCAGCCTGGCCAACATGGTGAAACCCCATCTCTACTAAAAATACAAAAAATTAGCAGAGCTTGGTGGTGGGTTCCTGTAATCCTAGCTACTAGGGGGGCTGAGGCAGGAGAATCACTTGAACCTGGGAGGCAGAGGTTGCCATGAGCCAAGATCGCGCCACTGCACTCCAGCCTGGGGGACAGAGTGAGACACTGTCTCAAAAAAAAAAAAAAAAAAAAGGTCCCCAAACTGATAATCCTTTATTTTTTTCTCTCTCTCTGCTCCCTGCAGGATGGGTACTGGGCAGATCGGGGCTGTGAGTGGCCTCTTGGCTACATCTGCAAGATGAAATCACGAAGCCAAGGTCCAGAAATAGTGGAAGTCGAAAAAGGCTGCAGGAAAGTGAGTGCACCATGCCCACAGTGACTTAAGCTGAGCACGTATGAGTTGATACCGTTGGCTTTATTTTTATGTGTGAAAGTGCCTTGTTATTGCAGTAGCCAAGGGTTTCTGCTGTCTCAGTCTTCAATAGTTTATTGTTAGTGTTGATCTCACTGTTCTCCTTAAAGTTTTCTTGGGGAATTCTCTATAGTTAATACAGAGGTACACAAGGCCGGTAGCTCCTTTCAGAATGTCATGGGAATTGGAAGAGAGAGAACAGGAACTAAAAATGGCACATCAGAGGGAATCTGGCTAAGTTGAGGGCAGGCCACGGGAGAAGGTGTCATCCACCTTCTATAGTAGAAGGTGACAGTCTACTATAGTCTGTCATCCTATGGGTTGTTAAGAACATTTGCAGTAGATACCCCCAAGTTGCTGATAGCAAATGATCCTTAGTCATTTTTTTCCCATTTATAATCTTTCTGATGAGGCATCTCCTGGAGAGGATTCTTCTCAGTAGGTCACCGCAGTCGGGAGGTAGGAAATCCAGCCTCCAACTGGTACCCACGGTAACTCAGTGGTCCCTGTGAAATAGTTTTTTAAAGCACACAGAAGCTATGAAAACACAGGGTTTATGGTTATCATTTTCCTGTTTGATTGCTACATCTTCTTTTCTACTTTCTCATTTTCTTTGAATAAAAATGAAGTAGAAACTATTTTTTTCCCTAAGAGTATTATGTTGTGGTCACATAATCTTATAACACGTACCAGAAAGCTGATAATTTGGTACTATAAAAATAAACCATAAAGAAATAGAGCAGATAATGGAAAATCATAGCATGGAAGAGTCACAAAGGACCTGGGTGATTTCACAGTTCCTCTTCTAAGTTTTGAATTCTGGAAACTTCAGTTCAGAGAAGCAACGTAGCTTTCTGATAGAAACAGAGGCAAGGGTAGAACCCAGGTCTCCTGTCCCTAAACAACTATCCTTTGTTTCAGTTCCAGCATACGTTCATATTCTTTGCCTGATCATATGTTTACACAAGCTTGTATATTACTGTCATTTTCTAAAATAACAAACCTTACATTTTTATTGCTTTTAATCAATCTGTTTTATTTTTTTCTATTTTCCTACACATCTAAAATCTTGATAATAATCCTGTTTAATCATTAGGATGATAATAAAAATAAAATAATAGCAGTCCCTTATGAAGTACAATTATTGCATTCTAATAGATTTACAGGGTGAATATTATAGTCCTGATTAAAAAGAAGAGGAAACTGAAACACAAAGAGTTTAAACAACTTGACCACTTTAAAAACACCTGTTTGAGGCAGTGCTTTCCTTACCGGGCTGGGAAGACTAGGAAAGAAAAAATCCACTCATCAACAAAGGAAGATAATAATGCAATTTTTTTCTGCCTGGGCTTTGGCATACAGTGGTGTTGAGGGGTCTTTCTAAGAATTCAGAAATCACAGGCTTGTTGTTGTTGCACAGACCTGGGATTTAATTTTCAATTCAATGCTATCAGTGTGGGAAACCCTAAACCAAGAAATCAACCTAAAGTGGCCACAGGTTTCTAATAGTCCAGGATTCCTGACATATATAAATGTAAATCCTCATTATAAAGAAGTCTCATTATTCAAGCTGTGGCAACCCCACAGGTGAGACTGAAACCCCAAATTATAAGATATACCACCAGGATCTTCATATGGGGAAAATTTATAGATATGACATTAAAATAAAATGTGTTTTAAAATGTTTACAGAAAAAGACAGAAATGAAACCATTCATCAGCCACCAAATTGTCTGAGAATGTCTTAAATTCATCCTCACCCTGAATAATAGTTTAGCTAGGTCAGTTTAGAATTCTGGATTGATGGTTGTTTTCTGACAGCGGTTTATATATTATTTTATTATACTTTCTCGTGGCCTTATTTTTGGTACTGGAATTCCTGCTGTCACACTAATTCTTCTTCAGTTTTGAAGTGGATATGCTGGTGGTTCTCTCTGATTGATTTTAAAATCTTCTCCTTGTCTTTGGCATTCTGCAGTGCCTGGGTGAATGCCGAGTACCTAGTGGAATGCTGCAGTGTAGCATTCTACTACATGTGCCTAGATCTGGAATTATTTTATTTGTTGACTTTGCTCCCTGGTGTGATTCTTTTTTTTTGAAATGAAGTCTTGCTCTGTTGCCCAGGCTGGAGTGCAGTGGCATGATATTAGCTCACTGCAACCTCCGCCTCCCGGGCTCAAGTAATTCTTCTGCTTCAGCCTCCTGAGTAGCTGGGACTATAGGCACAAGCTACCATGCCTGGCTAATTTTTGTATTTTTGGTAGAGATGGAGTTTTACCATATTGGCCAGGCTGATCTTGAACTCCTGACCTCATGATCCATCCGCCTTGGCCTCCCAAAGTGCTGGGATTACAGGCATGAGCCATTGTGCCAGGCATGAGCCATCACAGGCATGAGCCATCGTGCCAGGCCCAGAGTGATTCTTTGAGGTTTCACAGCCATCTTTCAGTTCTTGAAAGTGACCCATCATTAGTTTTATTCGCTGCTTCTGAAACTTCTGAAACTTATTATAGGCGGTTGTTCAACCTTCTCATTCTATTGTCTATGCTTTCTGTCAACATGTTTTTTAACCTCTTTTCGTATCTTCATCTCTTCCTATGCTATCTTTTCTGTCTTGCTTTTTATCTTTTCATCCAATTGACTAATTTCCTATGAAACCCTGATTACTATATTTAATCTGACCATTGAGTTTTTAACTTCATTGCTATGGTTTTCTTTTATAGACATTCCGTACTTTGGGGTTCACATCCTCCTTTTCTTTGTGCATACTATTTTGATCTTTTGTTATTGGATTTATTCTTTTGTTACCAAGTCATCTCAAACATGCTGTTTTTTTAATAAGAGCTTTCTGTTTTATTATGTTCAGTTGTTGACTCTTCCTTAAAATGGGACATTTTCTCATATGGCTTGTTGTTGTTGTTGTTTTTGAGAAGGAGTCTTGCTATGTTGCCCAGGCTGGCATGCAGTGGCATGATCTCGGCTCAGCGCAACCTCTACCACATGGGTTCACACAATTCTCCTGCTTCAGCCTCCCAAGTAGCTGGGACTACAGGTGCCTGCCGTCACGCCCAGCTAATTTTTGCATTTTCAGTCAAGACGGGGTTTCACCACGTTGGTCAAGGTGGTCTTGAACTCCTGACCTCAAGTGACCCACCTGCTTCGTCCTTCCAAAGTGTTGGGGTTACAGGTGGGAGCCACTGCGCCTGGCTGGTTTATTGCTTTTGGTTGTGATTTAGTGACCTCTCCATCCCCACCCATCTCCCCAAATGTCACAGTCTCTCTTGACCTGGTTGGTGGGCGTATTTCTGATGTGTGGTTTTGCATTCTACTTCTTGGAGTGCTTTAGAGATTCTCCTTTTACAGATTAAGTATGACTTTAATTTTTTGGCTGTGGGTTCCCATACAATGTGGATAGCATAAACTTGGAACTGTCACTCATCTGCAGCACAAACTTGGTATTTGTTTTCAAACTCAGGAATTGTTTTTTTCCGGTACTCAGAACCCCAGGTAGATGACAAGACACTGTCATTTCCTGCTTCTGTGGGCAGAATGTTCTAGTTCTCCTTTAACCAAGGGGTTACCGGGGTTACTGGTATCATTTTTATACAAGGACCTCGGTTCCAACTCCCTGCCTCAAGTGAGACAAAGGCCAAATACCATATTCTGTATGGACATTAATACCACAGCCTTTAGGATCTTAATCTAGGATCTCATATGTCCTTGGCCAACAACAATTTAATTTGTGCATTTTCCATTCAGCTTTTAGTATTCTACTAAATTCGGGTACCTGGAGTTTTCCCCCTTCTTCTTCTCAAACTCTAGCATGGATTTTTCATTTATTGTTATGTTTTTATTTAGCATTTCTGTTTTTTTTTTTTTCTGAGACAGAGTCTCACTTTGTCACTCAGGCTCGAGTGTAGTGGTGTGATTGATCATGGCTCACTGTAGCCTCCACCTCCTTGGCTCAGTCAATCCTCCTGCCTCAGCCTCCCGAGTAGCTGGGACTACAGGCACATGCCATCATGCCTAGCTAATTTTATAAAATTTTCTGTAAAGATAGGGACTCACTATGTTGCCCAGGCTGGTCTTGAACTCCTGGGCTCAAGTCATCCTCCCAACTTCGACTCCCAAAGTGCTGGCGTTACAGGCATATGCCACTGTGCCTGGCCATTTCTGTGTATTTGGAGTATGGGAGAAGGAGGAACAATGCTGAATCATACTGCCTGAAGTTTGAAAAGTGCTCTCCTATGACCAAATGATGTAGCTTTATACCCACCTTCTAGTATTGTCTTCCATAGGCAACTAGGTTTGCTCTTCCCCAAATTCTTTCCTGTGGTTACCTATTCTAAAACTGGTATCTTAGCCGTTCTGTTCAGTTTCCTCAGTAAACGTTTCACAAATAGTTTTCGTTGCAAGATACATTATAAGTGGAGAGAATGGCTGCCCCCATTTATTTGCATATTTGTCATAGGAGGAATGATGTACTACTGTTTCTTTTATTCGTTTATGTGTATAATTTTCATTGCATTTCAGATTCTTCAGAGTTGTGTTCTTTAGACATTCCTATTGTTTATCCAATAGTTTCATGATAGAAAAAGTATTAAAATATTATTTTCTAAGGCTGGGCACAGTGGCTCACGCCTATAATCCCAGCACTTTGGGAGGCCAAGGCGGGTAGATCACTTGAGGTCAGGAGTTTGAGACCAGCCTGGCCAGCATGGTGAAACCCCATCTCTACTAAAAAGACAGAAAAATTTGGCCGGGTGTGGTGGCACGTGCCTGTAATTCCAGCTACTCTGGAGACTGAGGCAGGAGAATTGCTTGAACCTGGCAGGCGGAGGTTGCAGTGAGCCAAGATTGCGCCATTGTACTCCAGCCTGGGCGACAAGAGCAAAACTGCATCTCAAATAATAATAATATTTTATAATATATATGCATGAACTCTGCTCATTTATTCACTGCTTGATAACATTAATAGGGCTGGAAAAAACATCACTTTTACTGCTATATGATTGGACATACGCTTTCAACATTTGCAGAAGCAAACCAAACCTGTAATAATGAGAATGCTTATTTAACAACTATTGAAGACAGGTATGTAACTATTTTAATTTCATTTTAAAATATGTCAAATAGAAAAAAGTTTCAGAAAAGCCCAAGTATCAACATGCTCTAAATTTCTGAGTATGTGTGATCTTGAGGTATGATTTGTAAAGATAGAAGCATTAAAAATAATATTCTTATTTGGATTCTTCATTGCAAACATTACAAACCGTTTTTGCTAAATTTAGTAGTATAAAGCAACATTCAGAACAGTTTATAAATAATAATCTAGTAAATGTAGTTTATGGAGCTAACTTTTTAATGATCCATTCGACGTTGAATTTTTTAAAGCAGGAAAGTAACTAAAAGTTGCCGGCTCAAAATCACGTTATATCTTTACCACTCTCTCCACCAAAAAAGAAGGCAAAGAAGTTTACTGAATAATTCATTCATTCTTTCCAGTCTTCCATTCTTTGCTTTGCTTTGCTATGTTAACAGACTCATAGGTCAGGAAAATCACATGGACATAGAGGAGCTTATGTAATTTTTTATCTCTAGGGTCCTATCTATTTTTAAGATTTATTCGTTTACTTTTCACCTACTCTATGCAAAGCTCTGGATTAGCCACAGAAGAAAGTTTACAAAAATGGAAAAGTATCTATTTCACTTGCAGTAAAGAAGTAACAAAATTATGGAGTTTTAGTACAATAAGTTATATTTACTGGACTTTCGAGGCAGACCGAATAAAATGTAAGGGATACTGTTGATATTAAAAAATCTTTGGATAAAAATGAGAGATGTCATAACATTTCATAGTCTTTATAAAAGAACTGTATTTCTATCCACATGCTGCTTTCATATATATTTAAATGTCTAATATATGGTAGTAGCACCCTAATACAATGCTAACATCTGAAACTCAGAACGTAGGTACTTTTTATCTTCTGTGAGGGAGGTAAACTGCTCACCTTTAAGTACCATGAGATCATATTCTGGTCTGCACTATAATTGATCTTTTGGTCTATTGGACATTTGTGCATCTACATTTGGACATTTGTACATCCAGATGTGCATGATTTCACTATATTTTATATTTATTTTTCCTTGTGTATCTTCTGTAATATTTATACTCAGGAGTTCACTAACTGTTGTTAAATATGGTTTAGAGACATTTAAGGCAACTAAATCGAGTTTGGAACTTTTAATTTTTTTGGTTTGTTTTGTTTAGGGAATGAAATTATTTAGACTATGGTCAAATAAAATGTTGTATTGCTGTTAGGTTTCTCTATATTCTCTTCCTGCTCTCTCTGAAGTCATCTACAACTCTCTCCGTTTCTGGAAACTTCGGACACCATTTTTCTTTTTCTCAAAAGACAGACTTTTTCCTATGTTGCTGCTTCCATTGTTTTATTTGTCATTTTAGACAAGTTTTCAGTGCCTTGTCAACTGAATTTTATTGTTCCCAGATTAATGCCAAATAGACAAGAATCCTAAGGGAGAGAAAGTGTTGGAATTCATGATTCTGCTTCTCATTCATTCTGGAGATTGAGTCTCTGCTTCTCTGTATTTCTTGATAATTTTCTCTTTTGTTTCAGAGCTGAAATATGAGAGAATAAAATTGAGGGGGGAAATTCATGCAGATTATTCCATGAGTATTATCCTTGATAATGTTATTAACCTTGAACTTGCTTAACCAAGAATTGAGTAGAACTATTTGAAGAGTGGACTGATTTTTTAAAACATTGTATTTTAAAATGCATTAGTTTTCTTCTTTGTATTCTCAAAATTCTCTGACATTTTGAGAATAGGCAGAGGGGCTGGTGAGGGCTAGAGGGAGATGGTTTGAGTATCTCCGAATGATTTTATATACTCAGCTATATGGTATTTTTCCATCATAAGCTCACATTTCCTTGGTGACAATGTGTATAATGTAGATGACATACAAATATAACACAATATATTTGAATTACCAGTTCAGTTATAGCTCAAACATAGGACTGAGATAGTTTCCACGTTGATAATTTTGAAAATTGGCATAAATGTTTCAAAAACTTAATTGAATGTTAATTCTTCTTTTTAAAGATATGAACAAGCCTTCCTGACTAGTTTCGTTGGCTTAAGGCCTGAAAAATATTTCTGGACAGGACTTTCAGATATACAAACCAAAGGGACTTTTCAGTGGACCATCGAGGAAGAGGTTCGGTTCACCCACTGGAATTCAGATATGCCAGGTACGGGCAGCGCTTAGGTTGAGGGTTGCTTTCACCCTACGAATCTGTTAGATAAAGTCTGTTATTCCTCCGGGTATCTCTGCAAATAGACTAGGTAAATTAGTCATGCTTTTAGTAACAATTTATATTTCATTCTCTTTTCGTTTTTTCTTTTCTTCCTTTTTTTCTTTTCTAAAAGTTTCCCAATAGGTTTAGTGTTCTAAAGAAAAAAGGAAGAAAAAAATTGCTAGGTTATATTGCTGGGTTATCTGGTCCTGGTCTACTTAAAACCTATTCATGAAATTCTCAGTGGTCGCAAAGGTTTCAAATGGTTGACTCTTTCTTTCTTTCTTTTTTTTGAGACAGAGCCTCACTCGGTTGCCCAGGCTGGAGTGCAGTGGCGCCATCTTGGCTCACTGCAACCTCAACCTTCTGGGTTCAAACAATTATCGTGCCTCAGCCTCCTGAGTAGCTGGGACCACAGGCATGTACCAGCACGCCTGGTTAATTTTTGTGTTTTTAGTAGAGATGGGGTTTCACCATGTTGGCCAGGCTGGTCTCGAACTCCTCGCCTCAAGTGATCTGCCTGCCTTGGCCTCCCAAAGTGCCGGGGTTACAGGCATGAGCCACTGCGCATGTCCTGTTTGACTTATTTCTGAAAACCTAAAACTATATTAAATGGACATAAAGCTTTTCAGTGCAATTAGGAGTTGAAATATTAGAGTGGTTGGGTGGGGCAGCAAAGGACATTGCTCATGCGGAACTCATTATTTCCATATCTTCCATGTGCTACCATGTTTAGTCTTTTATTTGCCTTGGATTTTATTTTGTCATCATAAAAACCTTGCCAGGTAAGCTTCAGTATCTTCATTTAAAAGAAGTGGAGGTCGGCCGCGGTGGCTCATGCCTGTAATCTCAACACTTTGGGAGGCAGAGGCGGGCAGATCACCTGAGGTCAGTAGTTCGAGACTAGCCTGGCCAACATAGGGAAACCCCATCTCTACTAAAAATACAAAAATTAGCCAAGTGCAGTGGTGCGTGCCTGTCATCCCAGCTACTTGGGAGGCTGAGGCAGGAGAATTGCTTGAACCTGGAAGGCAGAGGTTGCAGTGAGTCGAGATTGTGCCATTGCACTCCAGCCTGGGTGACAAGAACAAAACTCCATCAAAAAAAAAAAAAAAAAAAAAAGCAGTGGAAACTGAGACTCAGGAAGTTTATGTGACTAGAAAGCTTCCAAGCATGGATTTAGACTAATCTGTGTCATCCCCAAATCTGTGCTACTTACACTCGCACCACCCTGCCTGCCTCTCTATATATTTTGATTTACCCTCCCTAGTAAGATGTTGTAAGTTGTTTCTGAAATAGTCTCGGAAAGATTCTTTGACTTTTTATACAGTGATATCACTAGCACACAACATTGTTTAATATGACAACACACAGAGAAATTTCAACATCCCTTATAGCAAATATTTCATTGTGCTTGGGTGAAAAGCTAAAAAATAATAGCTCGAGTCTATCAATTTACTACCTGACCTAATATGTCCTAATCTTCAGTGTTCTGTAATTTGCATTCTCACCTTTCAATAAGGGAAATAGATCAGTAACCTAAATAGTGTGATTTTTGTTTATGGAATTATTGAACTTTCTGAAACATAGCAAGATTTCAGTTGATTTAAAAAGTAACAGGATGGTGTAATAAAAGCTGAGTGCATACTTTAAAAACACATCTTGGCAGTAGTGATAAGTCTTACTCTGTAAGTGAAGCTGCTGAACTTTGCCTGTGGTGTCATCCAGCAGCAGGATTCTGAGGAGTTAACCCTGGAATGTCCTTAGGGACTAACAATGGATGGAAGTGGAACAGAACTCAGTTGCAACCATTGTCATGGTATATCCTTGATGGAAGGACGGTGGCTGCCCTCTTTGGCTGAGTTTACAGCTGCAGGAGGAGTGGGCAAGGAGCCTGGGGCTCGGGCCTGAGCATCAGGTCAACTGAATTGATTCTGATGGTTAATGGGATGCCGCAGCCTCTGTAGTCATCTATTCCACAGTTAGCAGGTTTTAACTCAGTGCTACAAAGAGAAGGAGACAATCTTAGGAATCAGGGAAAACCCTTGAGGTGTCAGGGAATCAGAGATTTCAGAGAAAATATTCTAAAAAAGGTGTACCTCCCCAGAACTTCATGAATGACTTCTAAGCACTTCATGTTCTTTAAAAGTCTAATAATAAAAAAATTACTTCATTGTAGCAGCAAAGAATCCTGATACTTCCAAAGCTCTATCTTAGTTAATTGCTATTTGGAAATAACCTTGACTGTAAGACAGAATTATAAATTAAGCTCAGTGCATCCTCATTTTATTTTATGTACTTCTTTGTTCGTTAAAGCTGGCATTCCTTACAGTTCTATGAGGCAGGTCTTGGTATTTGCATTTGGAGAGGAGAAAGCAAGTTCAGAGCGTTTGAGTAACTTACCTAAAATCTCTAGTTGAGACGTGTCTCATTTTGAAATCTGTGAAAAACTTTGGTCCTGGAAAACCTACGTAGACCTTAGTGGGAGGAAAAGAATCTTAAAAAATTAAAAAAGAAAGAAAGCAGAGAAAACCAGAAAGGGGAGGAAGGGAAGAAGGAAGGAAAAAGGGAAGGAAGGAGGGAGGGAGAGAGAAGCAGTAAACTATTTTTGCCATTATGGTGAATTTGATAATATAAAATATTTTATCATTAAATGCCTGTGTAGGGGGCACTTTGCCAAATGTTAGAAATATAAAGTGTTACAAACCCCCCTGCATCTGAGATCATAATTGGGCATCAGAACCCTGATGCTCGGTTCTGAGTGCCTTCTGTGAGCACGGCAGGCCTTCAGCAGGCACCTGTCAAGTGAATTCTACTTCATATATTTAATGCAGGGCGAAAGCCAGGGTGTGTTGCCATGAGAACCGGGATTGCAGGGGGCTTATGGGATGTTTTGAAATGTGATGAAAAGGCAAAATTTGTGTGCAAGCACTGGGCAGAAGGAGTAACCCACCCACCGAAGCCCACGACGACTCCCGAACCCAAATGTCCGGAGGATTGGGGCGCCAGCAGTAGAACAAGCTTGTGTTTCAAGGTGAGTATCAGTTATAAAGCTGGTAAGAGAATCTGGAGTATGCTTCAGCCTAAAGAATCATCTAAGGACATAGAAAACAAACAAAAACCAAAACACTCTGCCCAGACTCTACCATAGGTATTTAGAAATTCTGATTTGATTAACCCGGGGATCAATTGTTTAAGAGCTCCTTGGGTAGATGTATTTAGACCCACAAATACAACCAACAACATAAACACAACTCACAGAAGTTTTTTCTCACCTGCTCTGCCGCTATCACCTCCTCTCTGCTTCTCTCCTTTCTCCCAGGCCTTCTAGATCTGCCTCCCTCCATTCCCCCCTTGCCCTCTTCCTCCTTCCCTTCCTTACCCCCTTACCCTCCCTTCCTCCCTTCCTCCTTTCCTCCCTCCCTTCCTCTGTTCCTTCCTTCCTCCTTTCCATCTTTTCTCCCTTCCTCCTGTCTTCCCTCCCTCCTCCTTCCTCCATCCTCCCTCCTCTCTCCCCCTTCCCCCTTTCCCCTTCCTCCTCCTCCTCTTCTTCTTCCTTCTTTCTTCGTTCCTTCTTCCTTCTTCCTCCTTCCTTCTTCTTCTTCTTCCTCCTCCTCCTCTTCTTCTTCTCCTTCTCCTTCTTCTTCTTCTTCTTCTTCTCCTTCTTCTCCTTCTTCTTCTTCTTTTCTCTCTCTCTCCTTCTCTTTCTTTCTCCAGTGGGGTCGTGCTCTGTCATCTAGGCTGGAATACAGTAATACAGTCATGGCTCACTGCAGCCTCAAACATCTGGGCTCAAGTGCTCCTCCCACCTAAGCCTCCCAAGTAGCTACAGATATGCACCACCATGCCTAGCTAATTTTTAAAATCTTATTTTATGTAAAGATGGGGTCTCACTATGTTGCCCAGGCTAGTCTCAAACTCCTCGTGTCAATTGATCCTCCCACATAGACTCCAAAAGCTCTGGAATTATAGGCATGAGCCAGTGCACCCAGCCTCTTTTCGTCTTGATAGAAATTTCTGTTTCCTGTCACGCTGTTGTATTCCAATTCATTTTTTTCCCATGCTCTTAGAGCCCAAGTTTTAGCTAACAAAATTGATAAAGTATTCTACAGTAATGCCACATAAGTATTCTAAAGAGAGTCCTCCCTTTTTCTGATGTAACCCCGATGATTATAATGATGGGTGAGGAAAGGAAATGATAGGTTGGGGCACATGGCTTTTCAGTGCCCATTAAATGACAATTCAATATTCTACCACTATTTAATACATTCATAGTTTAGGCCATTCATTTTCTCCTTATGCAATCAAATTCACTGAAGCAAACAAACAGACAAAAAAAGAAACCCAGAAAATAACAAACAAAAACCCCAATGAATTAAGGATTATGGTCTTTTACACTCTCTCTTTTATAAGTCACATCCTTTCTGGAGAAAATTAGCCTTAGCCAAATACAGAAATGTACCTACTGTGTTAGTCTGTTCTCACACTGCTATAAAGTTACTACCCAAGACTGGGTAATTTAAAAAGGAAAGAGGTTGAATTGTCTCCCAGCTCCACATGGCTGGGGAGGCCTCAGGAAATTACAATCATGGTGGAAGGGGAAGCAGGCACCTTGTTCACAAGGTGGCAGGACAGAGAAGAGCATTTGAGAGTGTAGGAGAAGCTACCACTTATAAAACCATCAGATCTTCTGAGAACTCATTCACAAGAACAGCATGGGGGAAACTGCCTTCATGCTCCAATCACTTCCCTCCCTCAATGTGGGGATTACAGGTCCCTCCTTCAACATGTGGGGATTACAATTTGAGATGAGATTTGGGTGGGGACACAGAGTCAAACCCTGTTACCTACCTACTGCTTAATGATACTGTTTTCTAATAGTCCTGCTCTCTGTACTTCTTTTATTCAATCTCTTTGAATGGCATATGGCCATGACATGCCCTGTAAGACAGTTTGGCAAGACTGGTGAGGAATTTGCATCAGGATGACGCTGTGCAGTCTCTTCTAACTCAAGAGGAGTATGGATAATTGAGCTGGTCACTCCCACTAATAGAAATAGGAATACAGGAAGTCTTCAATCCAGATTGGCCATCAGATCTAATAACATAATTTACATAGAAGGCGATGTATTGGGCTAAGACAGAAGAGGTTTGTAAATGGATTATTTGAGGACTAACACAAAGAAAATCAAGTATTTTATTGTTACCTCTGGAAACTTTTGAGTTACTACACAAAGGCCAGATTCATCTTATTCCTAGCCTTCGCCTGAGGATGTTAGGCGATGGAGATTTATTGCAGTTTTCTGAGAGAATCAGCAGTTTTACCCAGAGCAGAGAAGGGTATCAGGGGCTTCAGTAGGGAGAATTTTCGGGTGGATGTTCAACAAATCAAAATATGTGCTTGACTAGAAATTAGGTGGTTTTACAGGTACTTGGGGTAGGGTTTGTTTGGAAATATATAGACCACCTTTATAAAGATTAAGATGTGAGATTTATTAATGAAATTCAGCTGATAGTAAATTTAGTTAAGAAAATAAAATCTTATATCACAGTCTAGCAAGTTGAGGCATCATAGGAGTCTGGGATATACTGATGTGGATATTTACTTAAACACCTTTGTCCACATAGCTTGAGTCAAGTTAGGGTCAAGGTGAAGGTTGTCTTCGGCTGCTTAATGACAACTTGGGCAACCATAGTGCCTTGGAAGCAAATTTTTTTTCCCACAAGGCTGTGATGTGGGAATGATGAGGAGTAACGCATGAGAATTAGAAAAGTCAATGGCCACGATTACCTCCTTTCTATTTGCATACTGGTGGGTGTGTCCCAGACCGTCACTGTTGACTGCATTTCACTATTCTCTGCAGTCCTCTGGATATTATGACACAATTCCTAAATCATATAATCTTTTAAATTTAATTTTGCTCAGAACTCCCTGCCAGATGGTTGTCTGTGTTTGCATGTGCTTCAGTAGTTGTTAAGATGTACAACCATAATGAAAAATACAAGGCGGTATTGAAGGACATTACCAACAAAATATTGAAACATTGCCAGGTTATTCATTGTTTAAGCTGAACACACTAACAAACTGTGCACAATTTTAGAAAAGTTATTTTCCTTCAAATTCTTCTTCTTCATGTTTACTTTATCTGTATCAAAAGTGTCTTTCATTTCTTTCCATCTCAATGCCACTTTTTACACTTAACCAAATTAATCTTGTCTTCCACGAAGAGCTGTATACATAACCCATATGCCTAAAGCTCCTAAGATTTTCATCTAATTTCTCTTGTGCTATAAAATAATTTTATTTTCTAAGGTTTTCTCAATAAAAGAATCCCCCAAGTTTTGTTACCCAACTATTCACTCATAAACTGATTTTAAAGCAAAAGAATTACATTGTTTTGAGTCATTACACTGTTTTGTTTTTCTGTAAATGAACTCTCATCAAAAGTAAATATTTGTTTCTCTTAATTTGATAAACTACAAAGCATAAAATAATTTTTGTAACCATATCATCTTCAGCTGTATGCAAAAGGAAAACATGAGAAGAAAACGTGGTTTGAATCTCGAGATTTTTGTCGAGCTCTGGGTGGAGACTTAGCTAGCATCAATAACAAAGAGGAACAGCAAACAATATGGCGATTAATAACGTAAGTGGTATTTTTATGGATTCCTCCTTTTTGTTATCTAGTTGGTGCTTATGAAGTTGAGAAAATTTGTCTGTTTCTGAAATTGTTGTCTCAGGATGCTAGTTTGAGCACCTGTATCATCTCCCAAATCTGTGGGCCCTGTTTGATCTAGTTTCGCTTTCAAATCCTTTAATTTTATAAGTGTAAATTCTGCTATGACTTGGTCTATAAAAGTTCAAGATGCTTAATACGTATTTGTCTTTCAATACGATACCATTATTTACTCTCAGGCAGTGGTCTGTTTTTAAGATATTTATGGGATATACCAAAATGCACATCTATTGCATAAGTCTTCTATTTAGCTGTTAAATCTCTTTACTTGTGTACTATTAATTTACGTTTTGGAGGTAACTTTCAAATGTGGTTAGTCCTCATAAGTTACTGAACTTGCTTCATGCAATAGCATATGCTTTCTTTATGTTTTGGATTTCATAGAGCTAGTGGAAGCTACCACAAACTGTTTTGGTTGGGATTGACATATGGAAGCCCTTCAGAAGGTTTTACTTGGAGTGATGGTTCTCCTGTGAGTAATTTTACTTACTATATAACTTTCTTACTTTATCGTGTATTTATTTTGATGTTGTCTTTTTTTTTAATGCAAACTTTTAATAAGACAGTTCATTATGATAGCCACTATCCTGCCATGCAAAATTGATGTGCAGGTAAACTTCCTAAAACTTGCGTGTTTTATACCCTCTTTTAGATCAATAGAAATGGAAACATTTTTGATATTCCCACTAATAATGATTAGGCTTCGTCAGACTTCTCCATTTCCAGGAATGAAGAAGTGAGAGATTCTGGCACGTGCTGGCAATATTTAGAAGCCCTAGTCGTCACAAGAAGTGATTTTGTATAATTTCAGTTCTACCTCTTAATTTCAGTTCTGCCTCCACCAGCAACTTTTCAAGGAACTTGAGTGAGGTGGTTTATTTGATGGCTTCATTGACATTTGGGTTTTATATTTACATCTCTGGAAAACACATCACCGTGCTTAGTCCAGAACCCCGTGGGTTATGATTCCACACTGAAAACTCCATAGAGGACCTAGACCCAGGGCCTCCGTTTGTTTCTACTGTTCATTTTGGCAAAGTTTAGTAGCTGTTAGCAATATTTTCTGGGTCTTTTTCTTTTGCAAGAAGAATAAATTGTATTGCTTTATCCTACACATTTAATAAAGAGAAAACTTCCAATAACGCACTGAAATATTATCCTTTCCATTGGGTTGTAAATTTAGGAACTCCCAACACTGAGAAGTGGAACTTTGTTGCCAAGTTTTTCCTGTATATAAATCCCCATTTGTGGCCCTTGGATCCATTCTATTTAATAAGAGTAAAGAAAATGTTATAATAATCAATTGTGTACGTTATTCAACATCACAAGGTTCCATGTAATGAAAGCTGTTTCTTTTCTACTACGTTTGTGAACTGTGCTTTCAAAGCAAAGCTATTGTGAAAAAAAAGTAAATTGATAAAACAATGCAAACATATCTTTCGTTTTCTGTTTGGATGAATGATTGGCATTGGCTTGATACAAATGGTTAATGGTTGTAGTTTAATGTTTCTAATATAGGTTTCATATGAAAACTGGGCTTATGGAGAACCTAATAATTATCAAAATGTTGAATACTGTGGTGAGCTGAAAGGTGACCCTACTATGTCTTGGAATGATATTAATTGTGAACACCTTAACAACTGGATTTGCCAGATACAAAAAGGTATGATCACCTCTTCTCTCCTTTATCTCAGCTTGGTAGACTAACCTCCTGACACCCCAGAATCTTTCCTTTATTAGCAGAAGCAAACAAACAAAATAACAAAATCAGGAAACTGTCAGTGGCCATCATTGCATAGGATAAGCATGAAGTTGATAAGCACAGATAAATGTGCCAAAGGAACAGAGAAGATCAAAAGGCCACCTGGGAGTTCTGGGCAAGAGTCACGTCCTTCCAAATAGTTCCCACGAGCAGCTCTGATCCTGGCCCAGGTTCCATAGCAGTAGAAGTTTGTGAGTGTCCTATGCTGTCAACAGAATAATGCAAATGCAACTTCTGTTTTGGAATTTTCACCTTCTGACCTACGTTAATCATCAAATAGTTGAACATTTCCCCAAGTCTGAATATTCTGAGTATTGATTTCTCAGATAAATGTTCCACACAGTGAACAATCACCCTGGAGTGGCCTCTGATGCTATTAGCCCCACCATGTTATTGATGGCCAAACAATACGCATGCTGACAGCCATTATCTGTGGCCTCTGATGCTATTAGCCAAACCATGTTATTGATGGTCAAACAATACGCATGCTGACAGCCATTATCTGGGACTCAGAAAGTTCTGCATATTCAAGTCAGGCCAGAGGATCCGAGTTCTAATGTTAAGAGAAACCAACACACCAACAAGCAAATAAACAAACCTACCCTTGAACCAAAATATACATCAATACCTCCGTTGCAAATGGATAAATGGAACTGCATTGCCCTCTGCTGTTGGGGAATCTTGGCAACCATTTCAACTCTATGGCTGGAGATGACTTACTGCTCTGTTTATTTTCCATCCTCCTGCTTAGATTATTGCTTTCAAAGTTTCCAGAATAGAAGAAGTCAGTGGTGGCCAGTTGTCCTTTAATGGTCTCTTATCTACCAATGGCTAGTATCCTTTTTGCATTATCGTAGCTCTACTCTTGTAGATGTTAAATTCATTAACCCAAAAGCTAGGTAACCTGAGTCCCTTTATCAGCTTTCAACAAAATCCAGATATATCATTAACTAATTGGAAAGAAAAATATTTCATTTAACTTTTAGTAAGCCATACATTTAAGAAAAATAGATTTTCTTAAGAAAATACATTTTCTATTTTATAAATAAATAGTTCACATTTAATCGTTTCAAATCATGAAATCATAAGTCATTTCACAGATTATAAGATGTCTGGAAAATGAACAGCTGTTAAACACCTATTACATACCAATAACTCACATATTTTCACAAACTAATCTATTTGGTTTAGTTGACAAAATTAAGGCTAAATGATTTAAACCCAGGCTTGGGATTTGAAGCTAGGCTTTCTGATTCTAAAACTCATGATCTTTTTTTTTTTCCTTTATATAATGCTACTTGTGCCTGAAAACTGTGGTGGTTGTAATTTCTGTTGGCTATTATTGCACCTAATTTGTTTAATTCTTCACTTCTTATTCTCTTTTCCTTCATTCTGCCCTCCACAACATGACGTGCAAATAGGAGAAAGAAAGGGAAGGGAAAAAAGAGAACAACTAAGTTTTTAGCAATATTGACTCATGAAAATAGTGACAATAGAAGGAAATGTAATTAGCAGAAGTTTAAGTACACTTTATTTCTATTTTTCTCTTGTTTTACAGGACAAACACCAAAACCTGAGCCAACACCAGCTCCTCAAGACAGTAGGTGTTTTCTTATTTTCTGATCTCTGTACTGATAACCCTTTCTCCGCCTCTTTCCTTTCTCAATGAAAAAATTACTTGCCCTAGGAAGGTAGAGAGCAGAAGTCCTTAATAACCTTTGAGTGAGAACGTCATGGAAATTTGGGTCTTCCTCTCCAGAGAGAAGCTCATATGCCCAAACATAAGGCATGTTAATACAGTTTCTCAAGGGTTCATGAATCAATTCCAAGGTCCCAGGTTCCTTCTTCTTTAGCACATATATTAGTGTCCACAGGCTGCTGTAACCAGTTACCAGGAACTTGGTGGCTTAAAATAACATGCAGTTACTCCCTTACAGTTCTGGAAGTCAGAAATCTGGAATCAATTTCACTGGGCCAAAATCCAGATGTTGGCAGGACCACGCTCCCTTTAGGGGCTCTGAGGGAGATTCTCTTTCCTTGCCTTTTCCAGCATCTAGAGCTACATTCTATGAACTCATCAGCTCATGACCCATTCCTCCTTCAAAACCAGCAATGTAGCATCTTCTTCCAGTGATCACATTGCCTCCTTCTCTTGTAGTCAAATCTCCCTCCGCCCCTCTGCATAAGGATACTTGTTACTACATTTAGGGCTCACCTAGATGATCCAAGATAACCCTCCTATCTCAAGATCCTAACTTAATCATGTCTATAAAGTCCCATTTTCCATGTAAGCTAACATTCATAGGTTCCAGGGGTTAGGAACTAGATACCTTTGGGAGCTTTTATTCAGCCTACTGTAGCACGGAAGTATGGAATTCCATGGGTTGGAGAAAGCCTGAGGGGCCCACTTGATACGTGAATTCCTTGCTTCTACCCTGAAGCACCCAAGTGCATCTATTCGAAGTTTTGCTTTTTTTTTTTTCTTATACTGGGGTGAAAGCTGCTTTCTCATAGTTCCCACTCCTTTGATGTAGAAGATTATGGGTGCATTATACATAAATCCTCACAGCTATGCTATTGTATTGATGAAAGTGACACCCGGAGTTCTTTTACCCAGTAATGACATATGGAACATAGCTGGGAATACAAAATGGGTCCTTTTTACCAGATTGGTAGAAAGTGGATATTTGGGCTGGGGTTCAGATGTCTGTATTTGACGTGGACATTCTGCTGTTCTGGTCTCTCAGAGTTGCAGATGCCTCTTGATATAGCAGCTCTATCCCTTTCACCTTTGTGTGCTGTACACACCAGATTCTTGAATTTGTCTGCATAAAACTCATTGCCTTTTCTCATTAACTTTTCAGATCCACCAGTTACTGAAGATGGGTGGGTTATTTACAAAGACTACCAGTATTATTTCAGCAAAGAGAAGGAAACCATGGACAATGCGCGAGCGTTTTGCAAGAGGAATTTTGGTGATCTTGTTTCTATTCAAAGTGAAAGTGAAAAGAAGTTTCTATGGAAATATGTAAGGACATCAATCATTTTTTAAAATTTTAATAGTTTTTGGGGAACAGGTGTTGTTTGGTTGTATGGAAAAGTTCTTTAGTGGTGATTTCTGAGATTTTGGTACACCCGTCACCTGAGCAGTATACGCTGTACTGAATGTGTAGTCTTTTATCCCTCACAACCTTCTTACCTGTCCCTGCATCCCCAAAGTCCATTGTATCATTCTTATGCCTTTGCATCCTCATAGCTTAGCTTCCACTTATGAGTGAGAACATGAGATGTTTGGTTTTCCATTCCTGAGTTACTTCCCTTAGAATAATGGTCTCCAGTTCCATCCAGGTTGCTGCAAATGTCATTATTTCATTCCTTTTTATGGCTGAGTAGTATTCCATGGTATGTCTATACCACATTTTCTTTATCCACTCATTGGCTGATGGGCATTTAGGCTGGTTCCATATGTTTGCAATTGCAAATTGTGCCAATATTATAACGTGTGTGCAAGTGTCTTTTTCATATAATGACTTATTTTCCTCTGGGTAGATACCCAGTAGTGGGATTGCTGGATCAAATTGTGTTTCTACTTTTAGTTCTTCAAGGAATCTCCATACTGTTTTGCATAGTGGTTGTACTAGCTTACATGCCCACCAACAATGTAAAAATGTTTCCTTTTCACCACATCCATGCCAACATCTATTATATTTTGACTTTTTAATTACAGCCATTCTTGCAGGAGTAAAGTGGTGTCACATTGTGATTTTGATTTACATTTCTCTGATAATTTGTGATGTTGAGCATTTTTTCATAGAACATCATTGATTTAAGGATGGAACAGTGACATGTGATAAACAAAGTGTCTACAATTGGTACCCCCTAGTAGAATTTCTAATTATGTGCTGAATTTGCACCTCCAAAGGTCAAGGTAAAGATGGGAATGCAGGAGAAGGAGGAGGTCATAACACAAGTTATGCCCTATTGTTTAAATATTTAGTGCAGAATTGCAGAACTCAGAATCTTTTTTTTTTTTTTTTTCTGAGACAGTGTCTTGCTCTGTCGCCCAGGCTGGAGTGCAGTGGTGTGACCTCGGCTCACTGCAACCTCCACCTACTGGGTTCAAGCAGTTCTCCTGCCTCAGCCTTCTGAGTAGCTGGGACTACAGGCGCACACCACCATGCCTGGCTAATTTTTGTATTTTTAGTAGAGACAGGGTTTCACCATGTTGGCCAAGCTGACCTTGAACTCCTGACCTTAAGTGATCTGCCTGCCTTGGCCTCCCAAATTGCTAGGATTGCAGACGTGAGCCACTGTGCCCAGTCTCAGAACCATTTTTTAGCTTGGATTTTGTGAAGATCAGTACTTGATGGCTTTGAATTCACTAATTTGAGTTCACTAATTTGATTTGCAAAGATTATAATTCTTAACTAGTTGTTATATGTCAGTCCTGGACCCTTTGTGTATCATATAGTTTAATTTTTAATTTAAAAATCTGGCTTACATGGCCCAAATTGTTAGCTATATAACAGAGTTTGACTATTTATTATAATCATCTTTCTTGGTTGTAACAAAATTGTGATACCATTGATATACCTATCACTGAAGGTATAATTTATTTTTTCCAAGAGTGCTTTGCTCAGTATCTTTCTGATTAAAATTCTTCATGGCCTCATTGCCAGAGAGGAGGTAACAGAGAGAGCAGGAAAAAATAAGTTGAACAGTACTGAAAGAATAAAAATTCATTTGATTTATAAAGGTACTAGAGTATACTCTGACTTAACATCATTTTGTGGATATACCTTGCTTTGAAACTCTCAAGATGTTTTCTAATATTGCACAACTATATATATATATTATGTATATATATGAAAATCAAATATATCTATATATAGTGAAATGGTACATTATAATGAAATTAATACATTTTGGGGTTCCTTTCCTTGTTCATGAATACACATGTTCTCCCAAGTTTGAAGAACAGATATATCCTCCTGGCTCATACACAGATATAAATTATAATATATATGTAATATATACATAAAATATGTATATAAAATAAATACTTAAATAACATGAAATAAATATATGATATATGTAAAATATATATAGAAAATATATGTAATACATGTATAATATATTTTATATTATACATATCAATCCTCTCACCTCAGCCTCCCAAGTAGCTGGGACTACAGGTATGCACCACCATCTCCCACAGGGTGACTATTTTTCATATATATATTTTGTATATATATTTGACATATAGATTCATTTTACATATAACTGATTATTCTTTTTTATATAAAAAAGAAAAATTTATACACAATTTAATAACTTGAATTTGTAAAGCAAATACCTTAAATCATTCTCCATAATGTTAAATGCCTACAGTAGTTACATTGTTGAAGACATTCTTTAAAACCAAGTAGGCAGTCAGGATTGTAGGACTATGCATCAAATAAAAGACTCCTGCTTTACAAGTTCAAATTATTAAATTGTGTGCATTTTTTTTTATTTCTAGGAAGAACATAATATAGAATGTACTACATTTCTGCAGAAATTCCTCTCTAGATAAGGTTTCGATTAGGCTGCCTCATTAACATGTATGTTTTGTTTAAGAACTTCCTGATTGTGTGATTCTAAATTAAACTATACGTAAACTTCCATGTTTCAGGTAAACAGAAATGATGCACAGTCTGCATATTTTATTGGTTTATTGATCAGCTTGGATAAAAAGTTTGCGTAAGTAAATCAAGCTAAAAACAACTTTGCTTGGGTTAGTGTTCTGACCAATACCTATGAGTTATTTTGAGATTTTTCTTTGTGGAATGCATTTTTAAAAATCCTACAGCATTCTCAATTGAAAAAGCAACTTGAAAAAAGGAATTTAAAATGATTCTATTAAATATTTTCAGCACTATAAATTCCAAACAAACAACTCAAAATTGGATTCAGTTTTGCAAAACTACACTTTTCTTTGTTTTCAGATGTCATCATCTGTCAGTAAATCATCTACTAAAAAGTTGTTGTTTTAGACATATACAAATACTGAATTTATTTAAAAAATTATAATCCCATCTGGGATGATAACCTTGCTAACCTTGCTGCTGGGAACCACAGTATCCTTTCCTATTGCCCTGTTCCCTGTGTTAGCAGCACTATTTTGAAGCACACTTTAAATCTGCAGGAAATACATTCCCTTTAAAAGGGTGATTGTACCATTTTCTATTAGATATAGGAGCCAGAAAAAGCTGTAGGGACATGAGAAAATGAATACATTTTATGTTCTTTTTTCTTGTACCTTAATACATATGTCCTCTAGAGTTTGAAGGGCAGATACGTCCTCCTGGCTCATGTGCAGATTTTTTTAGCCTTACATGTTCCAGGGGACTGCTATTGTCATCTTTGAGCAATAGAGACCTAAATTCAAGGTCATTATTTTTATTATTATTATTTGAGAAAGGTCTTGCTCTGTTGCCCAGGCTGGAGTGCAGTGGGGTGATCACAGCTCACTACAGCCTCGAAATCCTGGGTTCAAGCAATCCTTCCGCTTCAGCCTCCCAAGTAGCTGGGATGACGGACATGCACCACCATACCCCACAGGGTCATTATTTTTAAAGAGTAAAAATGTTGGATCTTGCTTTGGACAAGGAACGCCATTTTATCATTTCTAAAGTGAAAAGGTCAAATTTCATGATCTCATGGCTGGTCCCCTTCTGGCTCTCACAGTCTCTGAATTTCTATAATTTATAGACATAAGTTTAGCCCACCTACATTACAAGAAACTAGAGTAAACACGAGAATCAGAGAATGAGTCTAATGAGAAATTCTATACACTCTGCCTCTCCATGGGTGGTTTGGTTTTGTGGGAATCATGCCCGGGGAGTACGATGGGAGGATTTTTGTCTCTGGCTCACTTCCAGAGTAATCAGGGTCTCCACTTTGCGACTAAAGGTGGTTTCTTCCTGGGAGGGAAAAGAAGGTAGCCTGGACATGGCATCAGGGTTGCTACTGCGGAGCATGATGCATAGGACACACCACATACTCAGGCATTGGGGGTTTTCCTGCCACTCTCTGGAGGTCTCCCTCTTCTGGGTTGACTTGTCCTGTCCCACCAGTAGGCTGTAGCCAACTATTCTTTTTTATGAGGTGGAGCTTTGCTCTTGTAGCCCAGGCTGGAGTGCAATGGTGCGATCTTGGTTCACTGCAGCCTCCGCCTCCCAGTTCAAGCGATCCTCCTGCCTCAGCCTCCTGAGTGGCTGGGATTACAGGAGCCCACAACCATGCCTGGCTAATTTTTTTTTAATTTTAATTTTTAGTAGAGATGGAGTTTCCCCATGTTGGTCAGGCTAGACTCGAACTCCTGGCCTCAGGTGATCCACTCGCCTCGGCCTCCCATGGTGCTGGGATTACAGGCGTGAGCCACTGCTCCTGGCCTGTATCCAATTAGTCTAATGATTGGATCGTTTCAAAATGCCTGAATTTTCTTTTCCAGTTGGATGGATGGAAGCAAAGTGGATTACGTGTCTTGGGCCACAGGTGAACCCAATTTTGCAAATGAAGATGAAAACTGTGTGACCATGTATTCAAATTCAGGTAGGCAAGTCATGCATATTGAATTTGCTTTGTGGCGTGGCGTGTCATTTGCCACATCCCTAGACTAAAAGTAGCAAGTTGTGTGCTTACATCAGACAAGATAAGAAGAGAGAATAAAGGAGAATTCTAATTTTGGCAGCCTAACAGTTCAACTTGTAACGAGAATAGATGCTTAACATTTACACTAGTAAATGACATAGTTAATCTTCTCACTTCTTCCCAAATTAGGAACCATTTTTTCATGTTCTGATTTGAAAAAACTTATCCAGAATTTGTTTATCTATCTCCTTTATTTCTCTCTGGCTCCTTATTATTCTGCAAAATGGGAATAATGACACAATCTATCAATTGTTGAGAAGATAAAATGAAATCATACATCTAAAATACTATGTAGATGCTCGGTGTATACAAAGTTTGCTGTTGTTAGATTATTATGATTAGCTACTACCATTTAGGTAATATATCTGCAACATCATGTACATGTTTGGTTCATAGGATGCTCTCTATAAAGTGGAACTATTATTAGTTTAAGTAAAACAGCAAAAGGATATTGCATGGATACCTCTAGTCACATATAAAAATAAAGTTTGATTATAGTCTAAATAAGTTTTGAGAATTCTTGTAAAATAGAAATATATTTTTTAAAATAATGTTTTAAAACATAAACATATGAATCTAATTTAACTATTTCTCTCTTTGCCAGGGTTTTGGAATGACATTAACTGTGGCTATCCAAACGCCTTCATTTGCCAGCGACATAACAGTAGTATCAATGCTACCACAGTTATGCCTACCATGCCCTCGGTCCCATCAGGGTGCAAGGAAGGTTGGAATTTCTACAGCAACAAGGTACTAGGAAAATTAGTTGCAATCTTGGCACTGATCAGTATGGAGAGTGATGCAAATCTTTCAGCTCAAAGTTAACTTTTGCTAGCCTCATTACTTTAGAAAATTTTTGGCAAGAATAGGTGAAAATTCGCGTGACAAACTCTTTATGGAAATTGAGAGCATACTTGAGATATTATCCACATGGATGTATCCTTTCTCCCAAGGGAGAATAAAACTTTGCAAAGAAAGTGAGTGGGTCATAAAACTAACAATTTTTTAAATCTCCAGTTGGTGGTGAGAAAATTCTGATTTAGCTATAATCTTCATGAATAATTTTGCTTTTTGTAGAGCAAAGTTGATCATCTTTAGTTAACCCCTGCAGTTTTTCTTTTTTTCTCTGCCCCTCTTCCATCCCAGTGTTTCAAAATCTTTGGATTTATGGAAGAAGAAAGAAAAAATTGGCAAGAGGCACGAAAAGCTTGTATAGGCTTTGGAGGGAATCTGGTCTCCATACAAAATGAAAAAGAGCAAGGTAGGCAGGCCATTTTGCAATTAGTTGTGTGTTTAAATATGGAATTCTGACTGCAAAATGGTAAAATATTGCTGACAGTAACTGACTTTTTGGTTTTCCAGTGTAAAAGCTAAAAAAGTGGAAAAAATCAAATGCTTATTGAAAACTATTTTATTCCATTATAGCACGTATTAAGCTGTTTATTTTATATAAAGTCATCACAACTCTAAGAAGCAGGTATTATGACCCCATTTTGTGAGTGGAGAAATGGTGCATAGACAGCTTTGAGTGAAGGAGCTTGCCTGTTAAGCATTAGAGCTGGGAGTCAAACCTAGGTTTGTCCAGCTTTCTACCAAATCAGTTTGCTCCCAAAGAGTCAAAGAAGAGTACTTCTAAGAATAAGATGTAAAATTGCTGCTTTCCCATTTATTGCTCTTCTAGTCACTTGATCATAGAACTTGTAATGCAGCAAAGTTGATATTTTAAATATGAACTTTGAACAAATTTTGATTTTTTTTTTTTTTTTTTTTTTTGGTAACAAGGTCTTACTCTGTTGCCCAGGATTATAACTCACTGCAGCCTCGAACTCCTAAGCTCAAGCAATCCTCTTGCCTCAGCTTCCTCAGTAGCTAGGGCAGGCCTGGGCCACAATGCTCGCCTAATATTTTTTAAAGTTTTTTTTTTTTTTTTTTTTTTTTTTTTTGGTAGAGATAGAGTCTCACTATGTTGCCCAGGCTGGTCTTAAACTCCCATCTCAGCCTCCCAAAGTGTTAGGATTACAGGTGTGAGTCACCATACCTGGCTTTGAAATATTTTTTGATAAAACATGAAAATAAGCCAGAACTATGAAGGAGGATATTCACCATATCCATAGAGCAGATGGTAAAATTCATGATGTTGTCGTCAAAAGAAAGGTACCCACCATTTCTGCATGATCTTTCTGTGGAGGCATCCACTGAAATAGGTATTAGGTTAAATTGTGACTTGCCCTTTGAGGAGGGTGTTGACTAACTGCAGGAGATTAAGACTAAACTGATGAAGGGTTTCGAAATCACTGCAAGTGAGTCAGGGTTGAAAGACCCTCAAGTTATACAGCTTGGAAAAGAGAGGGTGTGGACTTTGAAGGATCATCCTGTGTCGCCTCAGATAGAAGACGTGGAACCAATGAGTGATGGTCACAGGGAAATAGATTTAGGCTCAAAATTAGGGGGCCATTGTTACAGAACAATGGCTGGTATGTTGGCTGGTATGTAGTATAGAAGATGCTCAACAGTTGTTTGTTGTATATATAACTTTATAAGGACATGGTAGGAGACATATGGACTGAATGTTATGTAAGCTCTCTTTTGGTTCAGAGATTCTTTGACTTCTAGAATCATTTATTTCAAAAATGATATGAGAAAGAAAATAGAAGAAAAACATAGGAAATAAGAAAGGCACTAGAAACATGTAGGGTGCTCTCTCAAAAGTTTATTTGGCTTTGTGAATGCCACCATGTGCTCTCTGAGAACACATTGTACAATAAATCCCAACCAAGCTTTTACCGAGAACATTTGACAAGTTGAGCAATTTGTCAGGCACTGAAAGAAAAGGGTCAAACCAAAGCACACAGTACAAGAACATAACATTCACATTTCTCCAACTGGCCTACCCCATTTTGGGCTTAGCTACCCAGCAGAGAAACACAATAATTGATTTCTCCTCTTAACCACAAAGTGCTGATTCCTGGCATAGTGAAATTGAAACTGGATAATAGAGATGTGCAGAAGGAAACAATTTGCAGATAAAATAACATTATTCCTGGCAAAACAGGCACACGTAGTTGAATTCTTATTGTGGTTGTAGGCAGAAAAAAAGTGCTGAATCTTGGCAGGTAGAGCTTTTCCATGTTTCATTTCAAGCTGGGGATGAGGCAAAAGTTATGATCTTATTTGGAAAACAAAATAAAACCAAAACAAATATCTACCCATGCTCTTTTCTTTTTAGAGATAGGGTCTCGCTTGATCACCCAGGCTGGAGAGCATTGATGTGATTATAGCTCGCTGCAGCCTCCAACTCCTGGACTCAAGTAATCCTCATGTCTTAGCCTCCCAAGTAGCTGGGACTACAGGTGTGCACCATCATACCTGACTAATTTTTAAATTTTTTTGTAGAGAGAGGGTCTTGCTATGTTGCCCAGGCTGGCTTAAAACTTCTGATCTCAAGTGATCCTCCCACCTTGACCTCCCAAATTGTTGAGATTACAGATGTGAGCCACCATATCTAGCTGTACTCATGCTGCTTTTTCTTTTCTGAAAAACGGTGGAAGAGTTTTTTTTTTTTTTTAAATCCTTAATTAAGAAAAACAGAAGTCTCTGAGACGGTAGCTGCCTCTTCTACTCTGCAGAAAGAGTAAGCGTATAGCAATGGAATTGCTTGAAATTTTATGAGATTGTTTGTTCATGAATACACAGATAATTGCATCTCTGCAGATTTTTATTTTGCATTTTCTATAAGTAACCCTGGATGCTTAGTCATTCTATTTCCTATTTATGTTCAGCAGATGTGTTTAAGTGTAAATGTTTGCAAAGTGTTGTTCAGTAGAGTAGGTACTTGTTGGTCTAGGAGTTAATGACTCAGGTGGTGGTGTTGGCCCCAGATGGCAGCTGCCATGGGAGGCCTGGAGGTACGCTGAGGGAAGGGGAGGGGCACATGTACAATTCAACCTTTTATGTCTCTTGGATGTTTGCCACCATCCTCTTGGCCACAGAACTGATAAGCAAGAAGCCATATTCTATAGTCTCATCCAGTGATGTGAGCACTTTATTACTAATTGATTTGTGTAGAGATGGGGTCTCCCTCTGTTGCACAGGCTCAAGTACAGTGGCACAACCATGGCTGTCTGCAGCCTCGACCTCCTGGGCTCAAGTAATCCTCCTGCCTCAGCCTTTTGAGAAGCTGGGACTACAGGCGCATGACACCGATGCTTTGTTAATTTTTGTATTTCTTTGTAGAGACAGGGTGTCGCCATGTTGCCCAGGCTGATCTTGAACTCCTGGCCTCAAGCAATGTTGCTGTCTCTGCCTCCCAAAGCACTAGGATTATAAGCACCAGCCACCATCCCCAGCCCCTGATGTGAGCATTTTAGCATCAGGATGGTCCCCTAGATCCAAGCACACTGAGTATATGGGCAACTGATCTCAGGGATTTCTCCCCCACCTCCCCAGGAGGAATCTCAATTGGGAAACTTTTGGTTTGGCAATCTGAGATACTGATAATTTGATAGCTGTGTTAGTCTGTTCTCACACTACTATTAAGAGCTGCCGGAGACTGGGTAATTTATAAAGGAAAGAGGTTTGATTGACTCACACTTCCACATGGCTGGGGAGGCCTCAGGAAGTTTACAATCATGGTGGAAGGGGAAGCAAACATGTCCTTCTTCACATGGTGGCAGGAGAGAGAAGTGCAAAGCAAAGCATTAAAAGATAAAACCATCAGCTCTTGTAAGAACTCATCTCATTCACTATCAGGAGAACAGAATGGGAGAAACCTCCCCCATGATTCAATTACCTTCACCTAGTCCCACCCTTAATACATGGGAATTATTACAATTCCAGGTGAGATTTGGGTGGGGACACAGAGCCAAACCATATCAACAGCCTAATGATTCTTGTTTTGACAGTTTTTATTTTTTCAGAACTGTCTGGGTTAAGAGTCCTTTGTCCCATAGTTATTATATAAATCAGATTATCTTATTTACAGAATCGGGACAGCTGCTAATCCATACGGTGACTTTTTATGAATTAGAAAAAGTTTTGGTTGTAGGCAGCCACGACCCAGATAGGGGCGCACAGAATGGAGCCCTTGGGCAGGGTGCAACTTGCACAAGTGTCTTCAGTGGCCTAGATAAAACCTAGACTTTTATTGTATGAAACTTTTCAAAGTCCAAAGCGCAAGTGACAACACAATGCTGATATTAGAATGTTTGTGTGTTCATGGTAGGTATTTTTAAGTAACAATGACACAAGTCACATGCTAAATATTTTGAAATTCATATATTTTGAATATTTTCCATATTTTGAGTATTAACTCTCAAAGTTTAAAATTATATCATGAAATTTTCTTTCAGCATTTCTTACCTATCACATGAAGGACTCCACTTTCAGTGCCTGGACTGGGCTGAATGATGTCAATTCAGAACACACGTTCCTTTGGACGGATGGACGAGGAGTCCATTACACAAACTGGGGGAAAGGTTACCCTGGTGGAAGAAGAAGCAGTCTTTCTTATGAAGATGTAAATATCAGATTCAGGTCACCTCTCTACACACCATCAGCTTGCACAGGGTTATCATCTTATTGATTACTGTTCCATGAAAGAATCTACCAGAATACTCCTTGATCTGTTCTATGCTTGCAGATTTTACCTATTTCAGACTGAGCTGACTTTGAGAGAGGGAGTATAAATTCAGTTAAAAAATCTTTGGCTTGAGGAAGTGGCAATAGTGAGAGGTCAGGAAACCCAGTTCCATTCTGAGCCTAACTTGCAGTCAAAAGAAACACTTCAACCTAGAGTTATCAACTTTCTTTGTATCACCTTCCCCTTATTCCTTGTAGCTGTTTTAGTATTTGGGGTGTAGGCCTGGAAGCTACTACTGCTTCTAAAGATCATATGATCATCATCCATCATGATCATGATCATGATCATGATCATGATCATGAGCTAATATTTGTAGACTGCTTATTATGTGCCAGATGCTTTTGTACATTAACCTGGAAGACAGATTGCTACTTTATTTTACTACTTTTATTCTTATATAATTGAACAGCCAACTTATCAACATCAACACCATGTTAGGGATTATAAAAAGTGTGAAGAAATAGAAGATTTTGTTTTTACCTTAAAAGTGTGTACACTTAAACTAGACCACAAGTCTTATATAAGAAGGAAGATAGGAAAGAAATGAACATGTCTAGTGACAGCATCAGCTATAAACACTGTAGCAGCTAAGAGGAAAGAAACTCACTGTGGGATGGGGTGATTTAATCAGTTGACATACGTCTATGGTGTCCTATGTGCTAGACACTGTCTGCATGACATGGTGGAGGGAAGAAATATAAAAAAGAATCAACTATGGGTGTTTTCTTCCTTCCTTCCTTCCTTCCTTCCTTCCTTCCCTCCTTCCTTCCTTCCTTCCTTCTTCTTTCCCTCCCTCCCTCTCCCTCTCCCTCTCCCTCTTTCACTGTCCCTTTCCCTCTCCCTTTTTCACTCTGTCAATCTCTCAACCTATTGCCACCCTGTTACCCAGGCTGGAGTGCAGTGGCATGATCTCGGCTCACTGCAATCTCCACCTCCCAGGTTCAAAGATTCTCCTGCCTCAGCCTCCCAAGTAGCTGGGATTACAGGTGCCCACCACCATGCCTGACTAATTTTTGCATTTTTAGTAGAGATGGGCTTTTACCATATTGGCCAGGGTGGCCTCCAACTCCTGACCTGAAGTGATCCACCTACCTTGGCCTCCCAAAGTGCTGGGATTACAGGCATGAGCCACCACGCCCATTCAGGTTTTTGTTTCAATAAATTTAAAACATAATAATTAGGGGAACTTAGCAAAAGGTTGAGAAAGGCCATGTTAGATGGTCAAGGTGGGCAGCCTTCAAGCAAGAGATACATGATGTGTTTGGGCAAATGGAGTAAATGGCTTTGAATACAGCAGGAGTTTTATCCAGAAAAAGAAGTAGGAGTAAGCTTCAAAAGGTGGGAAATAGAATTTAGAGAAATGTAGATGCCCTGTGATGGAGTCTGAACTTTGTCGAATAAGCAACAACAACAAAAAAAGCAGTGGAAAAATGACCTATTCAAAATGGCATTTTTATGACCATTAATAATTTGGTAGCTATTTGCCGGGTGAATACATTCTGGTGATGGAGCCAGACAGCAGCCCATAGGGTTGCTGTGTCTGTGAAGTAGCCATTCTTTTCTTTCTTTACTTCTCTAATAACATTGCTTTTACTCTAGATAAAACATAACTGGTGGTCAGGAGATCGAGACCATCCTGGCTAACAGGGAGAAACCCCGTCTCTACTAAAAATACAAAAAAAATTAGCCGGGCGTGGTGGTGGGCGCCTGTCATCCCAGCTGCTCCGGAGGCTGAGGGAGGAGAATGGCATGAACCCCGGAGGCGGAGCTTGTAGTGAGCCGAGATCGCGCCACTGCACTCCAGCCTGGGCTGCAGAGCGAGACTCCGCCTCAAAACAAAACAAAACAAAACAAAACAAACAAACAAAAAACTGGTGATGGGTAAATAATTTTCTGTGGAGAAATTCTTTCATTCTCATGACACCAATGAGGGCTGAAAGACTTACTGAAGAAGCGAAAGTAGAATGGAGCGAGATAGCATTAGCTTAGATTTAATGGATGAGAGGTGAATTTCTTGTAAATCAAAAACGTTCATTATTGCACATATTTTTGTTGTTTCTAGAACATAAAGAAAGGCAGAAACAATAAAAACAAACTAACAAACAAAATCTGTAATCTCACCAATTCAGAAAAACAACACTGCTCATTTTTGTTGATTTTTTCTCCCAGACATTTTCATAGTGCATATAAACAGATAAAGTTTATATTTCACAAAAATGGAATCAAAATACACATAATGCTTTTTATTTTATTTTATTTTTTTGAGATGGAGTCTCACACTGTCGCCCGGCTGGTGTGCAATGGTGCAATCTCGGCTCACTGCAACTTCCACCTCCCGGGTTCACGTGATTCTCCTGCCCCAGCCTCATAAATAGCTGGGATTACAGGTGCACACCACCACACCTGGCTAATTTTTTTTGTACTGTTAGTAGAGATGGGGTTTCACTATGTTGGCCAGACTGGTCTCGAACTCCTGACCTCGTGATACACCTGCCTTGGCCTCCCAAAGTGCTGGGATTACAGGCGTGAGCCACCACTCCCAGCAATAATTTTTTAAAAACAATTTCAGGACTTTAAAATGGAGAGGATTAAATATAGTTAGAAAAAGAGAATGGGAGAGAACTTTTAATATGTGTTTTGTGGTGGAAATATGCTTGGATTGTAACAGGTTTTCTGGATCAGAGACTCTGAGCCAGGATAATGGGGGGTAAAAATAGTTAAGAAAGGAAATAGGGTGAGTGGAGAACTTTTGAAATGTAAGTTTCAGGTTGCCTGATAGTTGCAGCACATGGGATGAAGACACTGCAGGTTGACAAGATGTCTGTGGCAGGAGTGTAGGCTGTGATTCACTGTAGCTCAAGGGATGGGTTAAAGATGTGCTGACTTCACAGTGACATGTCTCTTAAGTACTTTCATTCAGAAAAACTGCAGTCACCTTTTTTTGGTTGTCTTTGTGTGTCACTATTAGTGTATTATTATTGACTTAACATTTTCTTTAATTTCTAGGTATTTTGGAATTCTCCAACTGTTACTGATTTCTAGTTTAATTCCATTGTGGTCTTAGAGAATAGTTTATGTGTTTTCTATTCTTTTAAATTTGTTAAGGCATGTTTTATGGCTCAGAATATGGTCTGTCTTGGTGAATGTTTCATGTGATCTTGAGAAGAATGTATATTCTACTATTATTGGAAGAAGTAGTTTACAGATGTCAATGAGATCTGGTTGATTG